>NC_000005.10:20913881-21216911 GCF_000001405.40 Homo sapiens
ATAAACAAAGGAGGTTTAATTATCTTATAGTTCCGCATGGCTGAGGAGACCTCAGGAAACTTACAATCATGGCCGAAGGCTAAAGAGGCACATCTTACATGGTGGCAGACGAAAGACAGCAAGCAAGAGCAGGGAAAACTGCCTTAAATAACCATCAAATCTTATAAGAACTCACTATCATAAGAACAACATGGGGGAATCTGCCCCCATGATCCAACCACTTCTCACCTAGTCCCTCCCTTCACATGTGGGGATCATGGGGATTACAATTTGAGATAAGATTTGGGTGGGGACATAGAGCTAAACCATATCAATTGGCTATATAACTTATAAATAAATACACTAAAGTCTCTCTAGAATGTTACATTTGGTTTTCTGATTCCAGAGCTGAAGAAATTCCCAGGCTTCAAGTGGTTTAAACAAATTTGTTTCATATTTTACTAAAAATGTGTGTTCTCAAATGGGGCAATCATAAACAAAAGTCTACACTATAAATAATATCATTTACTTGAATATGCAATACAAAATGCAAACATCTAGGATATACCACTAAGAAAAAATAAGTAAGTGGTTCCTGTTAATGAATGACATGATAGAGAATAATAAGCCAATGCTTGCATACTTTCTATTAAATATTATAAGGTTATTATCTTTGTTGTTACCTATGATCTTAATTACTGAAGATAACTTATGACTCATTATGATTGTCCCCTAACACATTAAATGAGCCTTTCACCAGTCAAGGGAAATTAATGTGCCTTGTTAAATTTTAAATTGATTAGTATCTATTTCTTAAATGTTAGGCATTTAAACATATTAAACATATTAATTTTAATTTAAACATAAAATAATAATCCTAATTTCTTTTCCTGCTAACATTCATTGACACTAATAGTAAACTCTATGATTAACAAAACAAAACAAACAGTACTAAAGAAGCACTGATTATTTTGATCAATTAAAAATACAAGATATACACAAATAACTTTAAAATATATTGAATTACTCTTACTAGAAGCTGCCATCGTAAAATACCACTCACTGGATAGCTTAAAAAACAAATTTTTTTTTCACAGTTTTCATTATCAGACAATTTCATGAAAACAAAAAATAAACAATAAAATAAAAATTAAAAAAATATGCTTTTTCTAATTAAAACTCTAAAAAATACATAGTTAAGAAAATAAGGCAAACCACAGAATTAGCAAACATGTAGCACCACTTACATCTGAATAAGTTATTGTATTCAGAATACGTTTAAAAATCTTATATATAATACTCTACTACCCCAACAAATTCACAAAATAGTATTTTATAAAATAAGACTAATGGATAACTAAGCCTATGTGAAAACATCATTAATTATTAAAATTTAAGAGAAAACAATAGGATGCCATTTTTATGCCCTTCAAAAGTGCCAGAAAGAACAACAAAAACATGACAATATCAAATGTTAACAACAATGAAGAACAATAGTAATTCCTACACAGCTGAGGAGAGATTGTAAAATGGAACTACACCACTCTGGAAAAGTATGCAGCAGTTCATTAAAGATTCAAATATAAATATACACTCTAACTTTGACATTCCATGCCTAAGTATTCCACCAAGACAGAGGAAATCATATATTCCCACATAGATTTGGAGCCAGTTATTCATCAGAACTTGATTTACAGTAGACGGGAATTTGAATTAAATCCAACCAACGGGTGAATAGAAGTGTACTCAGTAATACAAGTAATACACCAATGACACATAAAAAAGCATGAAAGATTTTAAAAATTATTATGCTAAGTTAGAAAAATCAGACACAAAGGAATATATACTATAATATTCCATTTTTATAAAATTCTAGAAACTGCAATCTTAGCCTGCTTTGGCTCTGTAACAAAATATCATAAACTAGGTAGATTATAAACAACATAAATTTATTTCTCATAGTTTTGGAGGCTGGGAAGTCCAAAATCAAGGTGCTGACAGACTGTAGGTCTGGTGAAGGCCTGCTTTCTGGTTCCTTAATGGTGCCTTTTCACTGTGTCATTACCTAGAGGAAAGGGCAAGGCAGCTGTATTAGTCATGAGCCTCTAGAAGGACAGAACTAATAGGATAGATGTACATAGAAGGGGAGTTTATTAGGAGAATTGACTCACAAAGTGAGGTCCCACGGTAAGCCATCTTCAAGCCGAGTAGCAAGCAAGCCAGTCTGAGTCCCAAAACCTCAAAGGCAGGGAAGCTCACAGTGCAGCCTTCAGTCTGTGGCCAAAGGCCCAAGAGCCCCTGGCATACCATGGGTGTAACTCCAAGGGTCCAAAAGCTGGAGAACATGGAGTCTGATGTTCAAGGGCAGGAAGTATCCAGCATGGGAGAAAGGGAGAAAAATGAAGGCTGGAATACTCAGCAAGTCAACAGCTCTTTCCACCTTCTTCTGCCTGTTTTTTCTAGCTGTGCTGGTAGCCAATTTTATGATGCCTCACACATTGTGAATAAGTCTTCCTAAAGATTCTTCCTCTCACAGTCCACTGACTCAAAAGTTAATCTCTTCTGGCAACACCCAGAAACACCCAGATATATCCAGAAAGAATATTTTGCACCCTTCAATCCAAGTAAGTTGACACTTAATATTAACTGTCACAGCAGCTCTCTGGGAGCTCTTTTTTAAAGGCCCTAATCTCATTTGTGAGCATTTCACTCCAATGACCTAATTACCTCCCAGAGGCTCTACCTCCAAATAACCTCACAATGGGGAATGGGTTTCAATATATACATTTTAGAAATACATAAACATGCAGACTATAGCAAACACACTTTATAATGAAATAACATTTTGGTGACTCCTTGACCTTGGGGACAGGGGAGAATATAAACTGCATGGGGGACAAAGAGAACTTTGTGGGTGATAGCAAAATTTTGTATCTTTATTGTGGCAATGTGTTCATAGGCATATAAACAGTCAAAACTAACCCATCATTCTTTAAACTGATACAGCTTCTTGCATATAAAATATAAACAAATAAATGTGATTTATATAAAACTTGCTTCATATGTTCCAGACAAAAGGATAGTTTTGGGAAAATGTGGTAAAGTACAATCATTGAAGTAGAATTTTAATTAACATAGTTGCTTAAAACTTTGAACAGAAGTATTTAAGAAAAAAATTAAGACACTTAAAAAGAATGGTTTGCAGTGTAGAATTGAATAATCTCTATTATAATATTAATATTATTTTGCCTATAATTTATTGTAACTTGTCTTTTATACTAAGATTAAACAGCATTATGAGATCTAAACACCATTTGCCCTATGCTGCTTCTAGATTCAAACACAAGATATTTATTTATTTATTTATTTTGAGATGGAGTCTTGCTCTGTTGCCCAGCCTGGAGTGCAGTGGTGTGATCTCGGCTCACTGCAGCCTCTGTCTCCCAGGTTCAAGTGATTCTCCTTCCTCAGCCTCCTGAGTAGCTGGGACTACAGGCGTGTGCTACCACGTTTGGCTTATTTTTGTATTTTCAGTAGAGACAGGTTTCACCATGTTGGCCAGGATGGTCTCAACCTCCTGACCTTGTGATCCATCTGCCTCGACCTCCCAAAGTATTGAGATTACAGGCGTGAGCCACTGTGCCCAGCCACAAACACAAGTTATTTTAATGAGTTGCAGATGTAATATTGCTTCATAAAGTGCCTATGCCAGTCACAGGTTTCTGAGCCCAAAATAAATTCTCAGTTATATGGAGACTGTGTAAAGTTCTTTCTAATTTCCTATTTATCAAAACACTTATCTGTCTTACCTATTCTGACTTTATTTTGGTTGACACCATTTCTATTTTCTAAAGTGTCCAATTTATTGACTATTTTTATTGTTCAGAAGAAAAATATTAAAATGCTAAAGTGAAGGAATAGGATAATCAATGTTATCATTAAATTTGTTGGTTATATATTTGGATAGTATATTGATGACTTTCCATTTTGGGATAGAGGATTAACTCTAACATCATAGGAATTATTTCTAAGTAGACAAAGGCTTAGTAGAGTTAGAAAGGAAAGTGTCTTTAGTGTTCATGAAACCCAAACCCTGTATTTCAAAGTTAACAAATATTAAATGAAGCAACCCGACAATCAAATTTCATGTTTATATATATTAACAACTAAACTATCAAAATATTATGTTTGCAATAACAAAATGAAATAATGTAGATATATACAATTCTTTAGGGATATACAATTCTCCATCTTTTGCTACAACTTTCATTACTTTTTCTTTTGTTTAGAAAAAGAGCATGAGAACAAGTAGATATTTTTAAAAGTAAAAACAAAACAAAAAACTAAGGGAAAAGTCTCTATCTGTCAAATTTGCTTTACTCACATAACATAAATGGGAGAATAAAAGAGGAGTTCACAGGTAACCCATAGTCAGCATAAGAACAAGATAATGCACATTTTACCTGAAGAAGATTCTTAATCTTAATGTGACAGATTTTCATAATGTTTCTTATTTTTTTCAATCTTTTTACTCTCAATGACTATAAGCCAGTTTTAAGACGGGGGAGAAATTGCTGACCAGTACTTCTCAAGTGTCATCATGAAAGATAAAGAGAAACTGAACATTTTTTCACATGACAAAAAATTGTTCCCCATGGGAGCAGATTAAGAACACATAACGATTGAATGCAATGTGAAATCTTGCATGTAAATGTTAGTAAAAGTAAGAAAAGTAGACTAGCAAACAACTAGTACAGTATGGCTGAAATGTGTTGATTAGTTAATAGTTAATAATATCTGTTACTAATCAATTACTTTAACTTGATACAATATTATTTTTTTTATTGGCTAATAATTCTATGCTTATGCAGGATGTTAAAACAATTGGGGAAGGTGAATGAAGGTATATAAAAACGTGTTCTGTTATTTCTGAAAATGTTTGATAGTCTCTATTTCAAAATGAAAAGTTATAAAATAAAATAAAAACAAGCTGCAGATCATTTTTTACATGTGTTCTTTTTAAAGAAATTACAAATAGTGGAAAACTTTTCCAACAACCGTATTTACAAAATCTTTTAAAATACATTTTACCTTTGAACAGTGTAGGGGTTGGGAACACTGACCCCAGCACAGTCAAAAATCCATGTATAACATTTGACTCCCCAAAGATTAAATTACTAATAGCTTACAGTTAATCATAAGCCTTATCAATGACATACATAGTTAATTAGCATATATTTTGTATGATATATAAAAATTCTACTGTATTCTCACAATAAAGTAGGCCAGAGAAAAGAAAATGTTATGAAAAAATAATAAGGAAGAGAAAATACATGTAGTATTCATTAAATAGAAGTGGATCATCATAAAGGTCTTTATCCTTCAGCTTTCATAATGAGTAGGCTGAGGAGGAAGAAGAGGAAGGATTGGTTTTGCTGACTCAGGGATGGCAGAGGCAGAAGAAAATTTGCATTTAAGTGGACACTTGCAGTTCAAACTCATGTTGTACAGAGTTTAAATGTACTGTTTTACTGATGATAATTTTTAAAAAGACATAGATTGGCCGGGTGGTGGCTCACACCTGTAATCCCAGCACTTTGGGAGGCGGAGGTGGGCGGCTCATGAGGTCAGGAGATCGAGACCATCCTGGGTAACACGGTGAAACCCCGTCTCTACTAAAAATACAAAAACAAAATTAGCCGGGTGTGGTGGTGGGCACCTGTAGTCCCAGCTACTTGGGAGGCTGAGGCGGGAGAATGGCGTGAACCCAGGAGGCAGAGGTTGCAGTGAGCCGAGGTCACGCCACTGTACTCCAGCCTGGGCGACAGAGTGAGACTCCATCTCAAACAAACAAACAAACCACGTAGATCATCAGGTAAGTCAAACTTTTGTAAAGCAAAATCTGAGAAAGTAAAAGATGATTCAGTCAATTTTACAGAGACAGAAATTCACAAATTTTGGAGAAGCTTTTTGGTCTAGTTATTAATCAGGTTTTTGCAACAATGGTATTTGAAGGTTTTGTGGTACACAGGACCCCTTACTTCACAGATGCATACAATGAAACCTAGAGGACATCATGAAGGCAGGTCCATAAATACAACACCTTTCCAAATACTTGATCTCTTGTCTCATATTCTCACTTTTAAATTTCAGTAATTAATTAGAACATAACTTTAACATAGGTGCACCAACTGAAGGCTGAAAGCACAAAGAGCTATTTTCAGGAAAGACTCAGAATATTTATTGCCTTCTGCACTGTTCCGCTTTCTCTTGCTGTTGCTTTGTGAATAGAAAAAAATTTGTTTTAATGTTGCAAACATTTTAATAATATTTTCTTTAGAGGAGGAATTCCGGGACATAGAATAGATGGAATTCATAGTCATAGGAAAAATTGGCAAGAAAAGATTCTTTATAGCTTTTGACAGCATGGGAATGAGAAATTAGAAGGAAAACAATGATGACCAAAAAAATGCTGCTTATTATTTAGTAAACCTGGGCAGAGTGCTGCATAATTGATGCCTATGATTTAAATGTGGAAGAGGAAAATAATTCTGCCAATCCAATCTTCGCTAATTTCATCTTTTTGCTTGGCTATACTTTTAATGAATAGTTAACCTAAATTATAATCTTAGAAAAGCAGATAAATGCAAAGACCAAATGCTCTTTTTTGTGCTAAATCCATGAACCTTAGCTAAAATCCCATATCATGTAGAAAAGTGTCTATGGTAAAAAAAATGTCCCTCTGCCACTTATTTGTCCAGATAACCTGTTTACATATTTTTGGGTGGTATTTAGACAATTTTACAGGTTTTAACTTTATCTTCCCATTTTTATAATTGAAATAATTTTAATAAGAATATATATAAAGCAGATAAGATAATCATTTTTTCTCAGTGTCCATTGATTCAGTTATGTATTTTACTATTTGTATTTATTCACTTTTTACTGCTTATTTTATTTTTTCAGTTTAGAAACAGGAAAACAACACTCTTTGGATGATGTATTCAGATAATGTAACATCAGAAGCCATGATGATCTGCATAAACTTCATTATTTTATATAAATCATTTTATAATCTACAAGAAAACTTTCATTTTCAGATTATTACATAAAATTATTACACTTGCTAAATCAAGGAAACTTCTAGGTGATTTATTCTTAAAGTTACCAATAAATTCAGTCATCAAATTAGTTCAAGATAACTTCCTAAAACTTTTCTGTGATTATTATGTCCTTATATAAGAATACCCTTGAAGTTAAATTAATAATCTCAAACATTCATAAACATTTGACAAAGATATAGCTTTTTAATTTTTTGGATAATGTGGATTGAGATGTAGTTTGTCCAGGTTTTATATCCCAGAACAATCCATATTTAAGTCAAGCTTTAGAAGAAAATTAGGGAAAACTTCTTCAAGATAACATTTTGTGCCTATGGAGTCCTATGAGAATTTAGGGAAGAGATGCCTGTTTAATTTTCTTGATCAGGTTGGAATCAGGAGCACTTATTGAGGGTGAAGTTGTAGAGATATAGAGGAATCTTGAAGTCAGGGGTGACATTTTGCATTTGTTTTTCTTCAGACATTTGAACAAAATGGTAAGCAAAGTCTAAAAGGGGAATGTCAATGGTTCAAGTTATTTTGGAGATCATGACTTTGTAGTTTCCCATGTTATAGACCTGGAGTGGCCTTTTCTATCCAATTCTTCCAGTTTCTAGGTATATAAACAGGGATTCTGAATTTAAATATCAATCTGAAGAGGCTTTCTGTGAGGGTAGATTAGAGTATAAGAGATTAGACAAAAACTGGTGACAGAGAAGTTCAAATTAGAACCTGTGGTTCTGAACCTAAAGGGGCAGGAAATGTTGTTATAGAAAATGTGAGACACTTTGAAAGATAATAGCTGAGATGACAGAGAGAGAGGGTTTTAAATTTAACATACTGAAGTAGAAAACCCTTGGGTGGTTATAAGATTTATAGTGAGAAACATTGTAAAAATAACTAAAAGGGAATGGAGGTGAAAATCACTTGGGTGAAAAATAATTAAGATTAGTCACCTAATTGTAGGGTTATCTCATTTTTTTTTTTGACATTGAAAATTTATGGTACTGTTGAAGTATTTATAGTGAAAAAGAAGGAAGAGAGTTGGGGATGAAATAACAAGGAGATTGTATTAGTTGTTTTCACACTGCTATAAAGAACTTCGTTGAGACTGGGTAATTTATAAAGGAAACAAGTTTAATTGACTCACAGTTCTGCATGGCTGGGGAGGCCTCAGGAAACTTACAATCATGGTGGAAGGGGAAGCAGGCACCTTCTTCACAAGGTAGCAGGAGAGAGAGAAGGACAAAAGAGGAATTTCCACAGGGTTATAAAAGCACCGGATCTAGTGATAACTCATTCACTATCACAAGAACAGCTCGGGGATAAGCAGCCCCATGATCTAATCACCTCTCTCCCTTGACACGTGAAGATTACAAGTCCCTCCCACAATAGGAACACGTTGGAATTACAATTCGAGATGAGATTTGCAGAGCCAAAATTTATCAGAAATCAAAAGCGTTTTAACCTGGGAAAAAAATATGTTATTTTATCCTTAAAAGGACATAAGACATTTCTAGAGAAGGCTGAAATAGTATCATTTTGAAAACGCAAGTGATAAACCGTGGGAAGTTATAGGCCTTCTTCGGTGAAATCAAGACGACACAGGGTAGAATGTGTAGTTTAAAATTAGGTAAACTACATGAAAATAAGATGAACCTTCAGAAAATTCTAGGATTCAGCTAAGTAGCTGGCACTTACGATACTCTAGGTAAAAATAATACTTTGGTTGTATTTACAATTGAATAAAGTTAACAGTGGGGATAGCATGGTAAGTTATAGGTGGAACCTATTTATATTATAAACCAATTACACTTAATCTTCCAAAGGAATAATATATTTCTTATACAACTAAATGATTTTGTACATCCAAATAAAAAAATTATGCTAGAAAGGTAGAAAGAGAATATTGGGAGCCTTCATTTGATAGAAAAGTAATGTTTCCAATCAAGTTGTAGAGTGGACACAGATTATTACAGGTAGTTAGATGGCATGAGCATGGCAGGAAAGGGCTCTGACCCCACCCACTAGGTACACTACTTTTTCAAAGCCAGGGAGAGACAATCTCCTGATGCTCCACAGCTGTTAACACTAAATTATTGATTGAATGCAGATTCCAGGGAGAAGAAACTTCCTGGGTATGTGCACTAGGAGAGAAGATGGTGACATATGACCTTCCAGGGACACTCCACTAGAAAAAAAAAATGAAGAAAGCCTCAGATAGGCATGCATACAAATTTCTAAACATACTGTGTGTGTTCAATTCCCAAAGGTAGGAAGGACACTGCGCATGAGGGAAGCCCACCTTAAGGGAAGAATCATGGTAAAGAGGCAAGCCTATAAAAGCCCTAGGATCAAGGTTAAATGCCCCTTTTCTTTCTTTGACCTTCAGGTGCCCTCTTGGATCTCTTCCAAGTAAATCTTCCTTTCTTTCCTATTCTAAAGCTTTTTACATAACCTTCCACTTCTGCTCTGAAACTTGCTTTGGTCTCTCTGCTTTATGCCCCTCAGTCGAATTCTTTCTTCTGAGGAGACGAGAACTGAAATTGCTGCAGACCCATAGGAATTTGGAGTCAGTAACTCAGGGTAACTCAGATCTCCTACACCGGTAACAAGATGACATTAATTCCTTCAAATATGCTTTGCTTAACTCTTCCACACAATTTTTTTCCCAAGTAAATTTATGTTATAACAGCTTCAAATACTTCTCTGGAATAACTTTCCACATTTGCCCATAGCTCTCTTTAGTATTTTGCTTACATGAGGCAGCACAAAAGTAACCACAAGGCAATCCAGTAATCTCACCTTAAATGATCTCTCACCTTTGAGGTGGTTTAAAACCACGTAGATTTATGGACTCCATCCCCATTTCCCAGTTCATTGGGACAGAGAATAAATATCATAGTGAGCATTCCACATTGCACATCAAAGCTTAAGCCCACTGTGTCAGTGGCTTATTCCTTTTTTCTTTCATGTTTTTCCTATTCCTCTTGAGATTACTGTGATGAAACAACTAATAAATAAACCCTAACATTTTTACGGGCTCAATATCAAGTCTTCCTGAGTAGTTCTGTGGTATGAGGTTCATTGTTCTATGAAGTTCATTCAGTAAGAAACAGGGAGTTTCCACAGTTGTGTGAGAAATCTTGAGAAATAAGCAGGTCAAAGAAGATAGCTCAGTGGTTACATCAATAGAAACAGATTGAAGAGAGAAAAGAACAGCAAAGACAGCAGTTAAATTTGACGTCTGTAGCTCAATAACATGAAGAGAAGAAACCACTCTAAGAACTTTTTGTGAATTAAAGAATAAATTGATTCTAATTTAGCCCAACATGTTTAAAGAAGTAAATGGGAGAAAATATAGAATGACGACCTGGAAACAGTTAAAATAACTACAATGGTTTGTTGCTGAGATGGATGATATCCCTTAATTCCTTTCACAGTTTAAATCTGAGTCTCTGATGGAGGGTCTTACTTTATCTAATGCACAGTGGTAGCCAGAGAAGCTACTAGGGAGAGTAAAAGAAACAGAAAGACATGGGAGCATGAGCACAAAATATGTGTGTATTAATGCAAAAGTTATTATAGGTCACTTTTTTTTTTTTTTTTTGAGACAGAGTCTCACGCTGTCACCCAGGCTGGAGTGCAGTGGCGCAATCTCTGCTGACTGCAAGCTCTGCCTCCTAGGTTCAACATTTCGCCTGCCTCAGCCTCCCAAGTAGCTGGGACTACAGGCACATGCCACCACGTCCGGCTAATTTTTTGTATTTTAGTAGAGATGGGGTTTCACCATGTTGCCCAGGCTGGTCTCGAACTCCTGTGCTCGTGATCTGCCTCGGCCTCCCAAAGTGCCAGGATTACAGGCATGAGCCACCTCGCCCGGCCTTAAAGGTAACTTTTTATTGGAAAGTTTGCATTACGTTGACTACTTCTAATGAATAAATGAATTTTAAAAATACAACTCTAGTTAGGTGAGTGTTAGGGTATTGATATTATAAATATGATAAGCAATATAGAATGTTAGTGCAATTTTGGAAGTGGGTTCTATGACAATTAGTTCACATATATTAAAATTTTATTTGAAGTATTAAGAGAATCACAAAGGTCTGCAGATAATGGAATAAAGAACTGGAGTTTGGGGGTGGTCAGGAATATTTAGGATTGGGGAAAAAGGAAGAATTTATTGGGAGTGGCATCTGAACTGTGTTTTGACTTTAGATATGTGTAATGGAAAATCGAAACCAACCATGGGGCATAAGGAGGAACATTACATAGGTCAGATTTAAAGAATGTCTCTGAGGGAAAATAGTGGAAAGCTCTAAAGGAAGGTAGGTTAGATTCAGAATTGTTTACTTATATGACACAGTAATGAATTTTAACTTCATTCCCTACACTATGATATAAAACTACAAATAGATTAGCCTGCACACCACCTACCCTCCCATTTATGAATGGTTATACTTTAATATAAAGTCTTTATTTCTAGCAGAGATATAATGAAAGACATTCAAACTTGAAATCTGTGTATTAGAAAATGTGTCTGTTATGTTCTTCAATATTTGTATCAGATAACGAACTACATTACATTTTTTTTGAATTTAGTGAAATGAAAAATGTCTCTGGAAGATCATTTATAAATTATTTTTCTTAAAATAAAGACAAGCATTTGGCTTTTCAGCCATGGCTGAATTCCTCTTCCATCTGATTCTTTAAAAAAAAGGTTTTTAATAAAAAAGGATTTTTTTCCATTTTATTGATTTCAGAGAGTTGTTCCCCAAAGCAATTATTGTGTATGTAAATTTTTTCAGATAGTTGTTTTCTCTCACCCTATACACTGTGCTTTTAATTTTTGCATTTTTCCTCCTAATGCATGTATATAATATATACCAAATTCATAGACTTAGGAATGAAGAAGTATGATATAACACATAAAATTCCACAGAAATAATTCTGGCTTTGTGGTTTTTATAATTCTAAATTTTGTCTTGAGGTAAAAGATGTAGAAGAATCATGGTTATTTTAGTTGATTTCTGCTCATGTCTGGATACAAATAGAAAAAAAAATGTACTAGGGAAGAGGTTAGAACCATTACTATTGGTGGATCAATTAGATGTACCTTACAATACAACCTAGATAGGTGGGGATCTGAGAGCAGACTGTGAGTTGCTCAAAATTAGAATTGAAAAAGCAAATTCACTCATACCACCATGTAAAAAATTGGTGACAATTTATTTATTTTTTATATTGAGCTGACATGCAATAATTGTACATAATTGTGGGTTACAGAGTGATATTTTGAAACAAATATACAATATGTAATGATCAAATCAGGGTAATTAGCATATCTGTCAACCCAAGTACTTATCATTTCTTCATGTTGTTAACATTCAAATTCTTCTCTTCTAGCTTTTGGAAAATATACACTAAATGATTGTTAACAATGTTTACCTTACACTGCTACAAAACACTGGAAGTTTTTTCTTCCATCTAGCTGTAACTTTGTGTTCATTAACCAAATTCGTTTTATAATCCCCTCCCACTAACTTGCCCAACTTCTAATGACCACAATTCTATTCTCTATTTCTATGAGCTCTTTAAACAAAAAAAAAAAAAAACAACAACAACAACAACAACAACAACAAAAAACTCCCATATCCAAGTGAAAACATGCAGTGTATTAGTCCTTTTAACTGGGGTGTGATGATTTCTCATTGTGGTTTTTATTGCATTTCTCTGATGATTAGTGATGTTGAGCATTTTTTAATTTACTTCTTGGTCATTTATATACCTTTTATTTTTTTGAAACGAGGTCTTGCTCTGTCCCCTAGGCTGGAGTGCAGTGGTGCGATCTCGGCTCACTGCAAGCCCCGCCTCCCGGGTTCACACTATTCTCCCTCCTCAGCCTCCCGAGTAGCTGGGACTGCAGGCACCCACCACCACGCCTGGCTACTTTTTGTATTTTTAGTAGAGACGGGCTTTCACCGTGTTAGCCAGTATGGTCTCGATCTCCTGACCTCGTGATCTGCCCGCCTTGGCCTCCCAAAGTGCTGGGATTACAGGCGTGAGCCACCGCGCCCAGCCTATATGCCTTCTTTTGATAAATGTTTATTAGATCCTTAGCCAATTAAAAAAATCTATTTTTTTCTCTCTCTTTTTGGCTGCTAAGTTGTTTGACTTACATGTATATTCTGGATATTAGTCCCTTGTCAATGAATAGATTGCTTGTATTTTCTCCCATTTTACAGGTTGTCTCTTCACTCTGTTGTTTTCTTTGCTGTTCAGAGCTTTTTAGTTTGATGTGGTCTCATTTATCTATTTTAAGTTTTGTTGCCTGAGCTTTTGAAGTCTTACCCACAAAATCTTTGCTCAGACCAATTTTCTGAAGCATTTCCTCTTTGTTTTCTGATAGCAGATAATTTCAGGTCTTATGCTTAACTCTTTAATCCATTTTGAGTTGATTTTTGTGTCAAGATGGAGATCTATAATAGTTTCACTCTTCAGCATAGGAATATTTAGTTTCTGTATCACCATTTATTGAAAACAATGTTCCTTCCCCAAATCATGTTCTTGGTACCTTTGTCAAAAATCAGTTGGTTAAAAAGCATAGATTTATTTCTGGGTGCTCCTTACGTTTTATTGGCCCGTGTGTTTGTTTTTCTACAAAAACCATGCTTCTTTGGTAAAAATAAATTTGTAGCATATTTTGAAGTCAAGTAGTATGATGCCTCCATCTTTCTTCTTTTTGCTCAGTATTGCTTTGACTATTCAGAATCTTTTATATTCTCATAGGAATTTAGTATTGTTTATTTCTGTGGAAAAAAATAGATATTTCATAGGTCTTTCATGTAATCTGTAGCTGCTTTGGATAGTGTGTTCAATTTATCAATATTAATTCTTCCAGTGCATGAGTATGGGATGTTTTTCCATTTTTTGTGTGTATTCGCTTCAGTTCCTTTTCATCAGTGTTTTGTAGTTTCTGTTGTAGAGATCTTTCATCTCCTTGGTTAAATTTATTTCCAGTATTTTATTTTGTTTTGTAGATATGTAAATGTGATTGCTTTCTTGATGATTTTCATTATCGGTTTACAAAAATGCAAATAAATTTTGTGTGTGATTCTGTTTCAGGCAAATTTACTGAATTTGTTTATCAGTTCTAAGAGTTTTTTGGTGGTCTTTAGGTTCTTCTATGTAAAAGATTATGATGTATGAAGAGGGAAAATTTGAATTCTTCTTTTCTAATTTGGATGCTTTTTTATTTCTTACTTTTGCCTAGTTGCTCTGGCTGGCACTTCCAGTACTATTTTGAATAACAGTGGTAAAATTGAACATCTTTGTTTTGTTGCAGCTCTTGAAGAAAAGGCTTTCAGTTTTTCCCCATTCAGTATGATGTTAGCTTAAGTTGGTTATATGTAGCCTTTATTATGTTGAGGTATATTCCTTCTATACCAAATATATTGAGAGTTTTTATCATGAAGTGGTATTGAATTTAATCAAATGATTTTTTGCATCTATTGAGATGATCATATGCTTTGTGTCCTTTATTGTATTGTGATGAATTACATCTGATATTTATATGTTAAACCATTCTTCCATTCTTGAAATAAATCCTACTTGATCATGGTGTATTATCTTTTTGATGTGTTATTGGACTTAGTTTGTTAATATTTTGTTGAGGATTTTGCAGTTATGTTCTTCAGGGATATTAACCTTCAGTTTTTGTTGTTGTTCTGTCTTTGTCTGATCTTAGCAATGGCAGCCTCATAAAATGAGATATGGATAATTTTTTTAAAATAGTTTCAGAAGAATTGGTGCAAGTTCTACTTTAAAAGTTGGGTTTAATTTAGCAGTAAACCCCTGTGGTCCTGGCATTTTCCTTTTGGGGAAACTTTTTATTATGAATTCAATCTAGTTACTGGTTATTGTTCTGTTCATGTTTTCTATTTCTTTCTGACTTAATCGTGATAGGTTTCACGTGTACAGAAAATAATTTTCCCTTGGGTTTTTAATTTTTTGGCATATAGTTGTTCTCACTAGTGTCTAATGATCCTTTGAATTTCTGAAGTGTCAATTGTAATGTCCCTTTTTTCACTTCTGATTTTATTTATTTGGGTCTTCTCTCCTTTTTTCTTACTTAGGCAAAATAGCGGTTGGTCTATTTTTTTTATATATTTCAAAAACCAACTTTTTGTTACATTGATTTGTTCACATTATATGTTAGTCTACATTTTGTTTAGTTCTGCTCTAATCTTTATTGTTTCTTTCCTTGTACTAATTTTGAGTTTGGTTTATTCTTCCTTTTCTAGCTTCTTAAGGTGCATTGTTCATTTATTTGAATTATTTCTGCTTTTTTGATGTACATTATTATTGCTATAAATTTCCCCCTTAGCACTGCTTTTGCTGTATCCCATAAGTTTTGAAATGTTTTGTTTCTACTTTCATTGATTTCAATCAATTTTTTTATTCTTTTTTGATTTCATCATTGAAACACTGAACATTTAGGGACATATTATTGAAACTTTCATGTGTTTATACAGTTTCCAGAGTTGTTCTTGTTATATTATTAATTTCTAGTTTTTTAAAATTGTGGTTTGAGAATATACATTTTATTAATTTAAGTTTTTAATGTAACTGAGATTTCTTTTGTGGTCTAACATATGGTCTATGTGTGTTTATGAGAAGAATGTGTGTTCTGCAGCTATTGGATGAAATGTTCTGTACTTGTTAGGTTAATTTGGCCTGTAGTGCAGTTGAAATCCAATGTTTCTTCATTGATTTTCTGTAAACATGATCTGTCCAATGCTGAAAACGGGGTGTTGCAGTTCCCTACTATTTTGTAGTTTGGTCTATCTCTCTCGTTTGCTCTAAAAATATTTACTTCATATATCTGGATGCTCCAGTCTTGGGTGCATAAATTACAGTTGTTATATCTTCTTCCTGAGTCATGCCCTTTATCATTGCATAATAACCTTCTTTGTCTCTTTATTGTGGTTTTTGCCTTAAAGTCTATTTTGTCCAATATAAGTAGAGCTCCTACTTTATGCTGCTGTTTTCTGTTTGTGTGGAGTATCTTTTTCCACTCTTTACTGTTGCTCTGTCTGTCCTGACATAGAGAGAAATAAGTTTCCTGTAAGCAGCTTATAGTTGGTTAGGTGTTTTTCATCCACTGAGCTGATCTATATATTTTAATTGGGAATGTCAATCATTTAAATTTTTAATTGTTATTTGTAGGTGAAGACTTACTTTCATCATTGTGTTAGTTGGTTTCTGATTTTCTTTTATATCCTTTATTTTTTCTTCCTCTCTTATTGTTTAGTGTTGTAATTTGGTGGTATTTGTAGTGATAACATATGATTCCTTCCTGTTTTTTATTTGTGTATCTGCTCTAAGTTTTATACTGTCATGTTTACATAGTGATAGATATTGTCCTTTTGCTTTGAGATGTAGGATTCCCATAAGCACTGTTTTGTAGGTCATGATAATGGTGATGAATTATTTGTTCTTGTTAGTCTGAGAAAAACTTTATTTCTTCTTTATTTCTGAAGTTAATCTTTGCTGTGTATAGTATTTTTAGTTGACAGAGGGGGGTTTTTTTTCTTTTTTCCACAAATACATTATGCCATTCTTGCCTGGCCTGCAAGGATTTTGCTGATAAAGGCAGTTAGTCCAATGGAGATTCCCTTATATGTGATTTGATACTTTGTTCTTTGCTGTCTTTAGAATTCTTTTTGACTTTGAAAGATTGATTATAATGTGCCTCACAGAGGAACTTTTTGAGTTAAATCCATTTGTAAGTCTTTCATCCGTATTAGTCAAAAGCTGCATTAGCCCCTAACAAGAGAGTTAGCTTATCCTTTGAAGTTTGAAGTTAGGTATTCACTTCTCAAGCTATGAAAGTTCTAGATGGCATCTTCTTCCAATAAAAGGCTGTTTTGTCTACATTGAAAATCTGTTGCTAGTGTAACTACTTTCATCACTTATCTTAGCCAGATAGACTTTCAGGATAACTTGTTGTAGCTTCTACATCAGCATCTGCTACTTTACCTTGAACTTTTATATTATGAAATGTTTTTTTCCTTGAATTTTATTTACCAATCTTTGCTAGCTTCAACTTTGTGTTTGCAGATTCATCACCTCCCTCAGCATTCGGAGAATCCAAGAGAATCTGTTTTAGCCTTCTACATGCCTTCCTCACTGAGCTTAATTATTTCTACCTTTTGATTTTAAAATGAGAGATGTTTTAATTTAAAAATGAGAGATGTTCTTTGTTTCACTTGAACACTTAGAGGCCATCGCAGGGTTATTATTCGGCATAATTTTAATTTTTTTGTGTCTCAGCGAATAGGAAGTTTTGAAGAGAGGAAGATATAGGGGAATTGCTAGTCAGTGGAGCAGTCAGAATACACACACTCTTTTTTCAATTAAGTTCACCACCTTATATGAGTATGATTCATACTGCCCCCAAACAATAACAATAGTAACATCAAAGACACTAATCATAGATTCCCACAAAATATATAATAATAATACAGAAGTTTGAAATAATGTGAGAATTACTAAACTGTGGCACTGGGAAACCAAGTGAGCACATACAGTTGGAAAAGTGGCAATGATAAACTCACTCAATGTGGGGTTGCCATAAACATTCACTTTGGAAAAAATTAAATAACTCCATGGTGCAATAAATGAAGCACAATAAAACAAGGTATGGCTGTACCAGCTAACTGTGGTCTATAGTTTAGTAAGTTGGGTGATAAAATCTTTGAGAAGCCATGCTTTTCATTGGAACTACAACCTACTCCAGACAGAGAAAGAAGATAATAAACTTCTACAAAATACAGATACAGCCAACCACTTATGCTGAAGAGGATGACATAGAAAAAAAGGCAGATGGGGAATTAAAAGTTTTTGTTTATTTTAATCTTTCCTTGTTCATCAGTAAATCAAATGTAGAAGATACTGGTAGAATGTGCATATGTCAAGAAATGAAATAAAAACAGTTGAGATAGTTGCAGCATCCCCACTGTTCTTGTAGTTAGCTCATTGGATCTGATATTGCATGATACAAATGAATGATAAAATCCTTGGTAATAATTCTAATTTAAATTTTCTTTACTTACAATTATATTAAATAGCTAAAAAAATTACCATTATAAGGTTAAGAAAGAGAGACCAGGATATACATTTAAAGGTTCTATATTTTAGTATATTTAATGTACTTTTTCTGCTTTTCTGGCTTTTTAAAGAGATCTCAATTTTTAGTTAGCTTTGGTCCCTCCAAATTGTATAATGAACTTAGTGTCACATGAATATGTATTTCAAAAGATGAGAAAAATATTTGTCTTTTTGATCTTTAATTTTATGTGCCAACTGGATTGAGTCAAGTAACTTCAGAGTAAACATTATTTCCGGATGTGTCCATAAGGGAGTTTCCCAGTGAGATTAGCATTTGAATCAGTGGACTAAATAAAGGTAGCCTCCCTGTTGTTGGTGGGTATTTTTTTTTTTTTTGAGACGGAGTTTAGCTTTTGTTGCCCAGGCTGGAGTGCAATGGCGCAGTCTTGGCTCACTGCAACTTCCGCCTCCCAGGTTCAAGCAATTCTCCTGCCTCAGCCTCCCAAGTAGCCATGATTACAGGCACTCGCCACCATGCCTGGCTAATTTTTGTATTTTTAATAGAGACAGGGTTTCACCATGTTGGCCAGGCTTGTCTTGACCTCCTGACCTCAAGTGATCCTCCCGCCTCGACCTCCCAAAGTGCTGGGATTACAGGCATGAGCCACCATGCCCAGTCAGTGGTTATTTTTAAGGATCTGAATATAACAAAAGACAGAGGAAGGAAAACTTTGCACTTTTCTCCTGCGTAATTGCTTGAACTGAGTTATCTCACCTAAGATTTACATCATTTGTTCCTTTGTTTCTCAGGCCTTTGAGCTTATACTGAATTATACCACCAGCTTTCCTAGGTCTTGAAGCTTACAGACAGCAGATCTTGGGACTTCTCAGGCACCATAATCAATCATGTGAGTCAATTCTTCATAATACAGTTGACCTTTGAGCCATTCAGGAGTTAGGAGCAGTGACCCCCAGCACAGTAAAAAATCTGCATAATAATTTTGACTCCCCCAAAACTTAACTACTAATATCCTACTGATTACCAGGAGCCTTACTGATAACATAAACAACCAGCTCATATTTTGCATGTTATATATCTATTATATACCATATTCTTACAATGAAGTGAGCTAGAGAAAAGGAAATGTTATTAAAAAGTATGAAAAAGAGAAAACATATTTACTATTTATTAAGTGGAAGTGGATCATCACAAAGGCCTTCATCCTCATATTTTTCACATTGAGTAGGCCGAGGACGAGGATAAAGAGGAAGGATTTCTCTTGCTGTACTAGGGGTGGCAGAGGTAGAAAAAAAATTGCATATAGGTGGACCCATGCTGTTAAACTCGTGTTATTCAAGGGCCAACTGTACATCAATAATGTATATGTATAGGTATTATATATAATGTTATATATGATAAACTATTTGTGTGTGTGTGTGTGTGTTCTGTTTTTCTAATGGACAGTGACAATACAGATTTTTGGTTTGGTTTCTCTGGAAAACCCTGACTAATATAGTCCAAATATGAAATATATATTTCTAATTAACAAAAACTTTATTTCAGCAAACAGAGAAACCATATTTCAGCAAAACCAAGGGAATTGATTTTCCTATGAAATTATAATATAATGGCTTAGGATAGAACTTTTGTAAGAATTACCTAGAAAACACAGAGGTAATAAAATTGCAGTGGTATATTTACCTGTACTTTTAAAAATTGCCATTCTTTCAAGCAGCAATCCCCACTTTACATTATATTTCATTAATCTCTTTCTAAAAAGAACTTGAAATACATCAATTGCTTTAGCAGAATGTTATACATGGAATCTAGAGGATTATTTGAATATTATTCATATAAATTTGTTCATATATTTATGTTTTTGTCAACAATTGGTAATAAAATGAATAAGCAATCTTATATTAGTATCCCAGTTGTAACAATCAAATCAAAGTAATAGATGTGGTTCATATCACTTCAATTAAGATAGTAACATAGAGTATTGTTCGCATACTAAGACTTCATTGCCAAGGTAAGGAAATAAGATACCTTGATATTGTTTTTGAATTTTACCCAACACATATACAATTTTCTCATGTCCTAGATAAAGAAAAATCAAAGTAAGAGACCTATTCGAGATTTACAGAGGAAGACAATCTTTTCTTCTCACCTTGGTACCAAATAGACAGTAAAAGTCTGCATAAAGATGTTTCCATTAAGTCTATTGAAATCAATTTTGTTTTAAAGTTTAATGTGTTTTCTTATGTGATAAGGTTGTTGACCAGTGATAAGATTTTCTGGCAGAGTAAAGTTTTAAGAAAAACAGTTATTGACTTTCAAAGACTTTTCCTGGCTGTCTTCTATTGTATGAGTATCTTCATATAGAATCTCAAAGATAAGAAGAAAAGAAGCAATTATTGAAGATATAGTAGATTTTTTTAACTAGCTAACAAGCTGTGCAAGTAGTGGAATATCTTGAAACTAACAATGAGAAGAGGAAGTCATTATCTCAGATAGCTAATCAAAGTGACCACACTTCTAAACTGACCACGCTTAATTAGTTATGGAAAGCATATTTTTCAACCCGCTATGTTAACTTTTACAGAAAAAATATCATTCAGTTAGGACCCTGTGGCACATAAGAATATTTTTTACAACAGTTAAACAAAGCATCTAGTAAAAGTAAAATTGCATAAATTTTGTAGGTTTTATTACTGAGGGATAGCAGGATAATGCAGTTATAATGTGAATTTGTTACAAGAGGGCAAATGTAAAATTGTTGAATATATACAGAAATAAACGATTTAATTATCATCTTCACTTTTTGTTTTAATTTGTATTTCATATGTCTTTTCTAACAGAGATAAATGATCCAATGATTCGGAACTTGAAAAGTGGTAGCTTTATGAATTCTCCTTAAGAAGAAACCTGTGCCCTGATCTTGCCTACTCACCCAAAGGCACTGTGAGGTAAAGAACAGGAGTGTGGATGGAAAATAAATGGAAAGTGAAAAGTATGGAAATTATAAAACCTCAAACACATTTAGGAAAAATACTAAGTAAAGGGATATGGGTATTTGGTCTAGGGACACAGACATGTAATTTATTTCAATATTAAAAAATTCACTTTCCCATGCATGATGTATAGTGACCACCATATGAGTTTTTTAAAATGTGCAGGATTTTTTTTTCTTGGCTTGATATACAGAAGAAAAGAAAACAAAAATTATGATAACCTCCTGATGCTAATTGACTGTTAATGATAAGCTTGTATATCAGGAAATTCATTCCACTCTTTTTGTGCTTAGAAACACAGGAAAACCACATTCCCAACACTTCTTTGAAGTCAGTTTGCAGGCCATGCAACCAAGTTCTGGACAATGGAATATAAAGAAAAGTGAAGCAAGTCACTTCCAGTTGGGCCTTTAGAAAATTCTGTGTGCTACCTCCGTTCCCTTTCCCCCTTCAAAGCTTCCTTGGAAGCACTGAGTTAGATGGTAAAGTTACAAGAAGGAAGAAGTCACAGAATCATCATTTAATGGAGAAAGCTGTGGAAAGCTGTGAAGTGATCAACAAATAAAACATTAATGAGCAAAGACACAGGGATTTAGCAGTTTATTGCCACAGGATAGTTTAGAATATTCTGATCATGAAATAACTTTATATAGGAGTGAGGTGCTACATCATTAAAAATCTAACTTACATTGCAAAACATTATTTTCATGTCTCATATAGGAAGGCAGCAATTATAAAAGGGACTGCAAGTCAAGACATATAAGAGACTGACAAATATAAAGACAACCTACTGTAAATTGGGAGGCAGATGACATACTTACAAAACAGAGAATTAAGAAAAATGATAGTATGTATTTGTAGCCATTGGTGAATTTTTAAATATATGAGAAGAAATATTAGAGAGACTCAAGAAATTCAAGGCCTTCCAAGAGTAAGAGAGAATATGTCTGACATAAGATTTTATACAAAATAGGCCAGTAAAAGAATCTTGGTCTAGTAAAGTGAACCCCAGTGAAAGATCAAGTTAATGATGGCCCTCCTATCTTTTTTTTTTTTTTTTTTTCAGATAGCATCAAAGGAACAGCTAGTAAGAGACACAGAGCCAGAAATCAGGGAAGTAAAATACACTTGACATCTACGTTCGGAAAGAAATTTTAGGAGGCAGAAGCAAATGGATCAGAAGCTGCTTATATTTTTGCAAGATTACCAAAGAAACCATTGGTGGAGAAAGTTCTGTGACCAACTTGTCTGAGTCTAGTAAGATTGAACGCTCACACACAAGTTTCATGAAGTGGGTTTGATACTTACAGATAAGCAGCAAGGACCAACAGAAGCTGATGATCTATGGTGAACTTTTTCCCAAGGCTCCGGAAAGCTGCCTAAAGTAGATGGAGTCTTCTCTGTGTGTGCCCCACTGGTCCTGCAGTTGAAGGATCCGGTAAAGCAGCCTGCCCTTGGTTTTATACTCCAGAGGAACGTGATTCGCTGGACTAAAGCATTGAAGTGCATCCTGTTTCCGGGGGGCACTGGAACAGAGCCTGGTCTGTTCTAGCCAGTCCCTTTCTATCTCAGGATAACATTCTACAGTTATTCTTGAGAACTATAATCAAATAAGCAGGGAGAACTGGGTAAGTCCAAGGCTTATCTATACAAGCCTTTAAATATTCAAGACCAAAAAAAAAAAAAAAAAAAAAAAAAAAAGCCTTGGTTCTTATCTTTCTTTCAGGAAAGCAGAGGCTCATTGTGGAACCCTCAAGGAGCATGGGGTCGTCTTCATCCCTCAGTTTATAAATGGCCAAGGAGAGTAATGCAACAAAAACTTCTCAGAGTTAAAAGCCAGAGTTCCTAAAGAACCGTGGACAAAGGGTTCTGTCTAGTGGGCAGAATTCATCCAGCGAAGGTGCTTACTGCACTCCCAGCATGTGCTTGGGAACTTTATTAAAATTCCTTCCTATTGAGATTTAAATTGCTGTCCAGAATTATACAATATAATGAATGGGGGCATTCATTATGTGTATTCTATGCCTTCTCCATCATTGCATATTCAGTCCTCGTGCTAGAGAGAGGCAGATAATCTACCTTTTAAATTGATAGGTCTCCTAACTACAGAGGGTCACATCTGGATCTGATGGCACCTACAGAACTTGGACTCTGAGCGACAATCAGTGACCAGGTGTGACTTTATATTATCTCTGTCAGGGAAGGGTGAGAGTTTTCAATGTGTGAACATAGAATAAAATGGTCTGGTGACCAAAAGGCTCTATTAAAGATAATATGAGATGTTCAAAACACTGGCTATTTTCTTGGGAACAAAAGTTGAACTTCTAAATCTTTCTCACAGATTGTAGACCAAAGGAATGAATTCTGATTGGCAGAATATAAGCCTACGTAATATAAAAAAGACTTCCAGGTTTGGCCCTCTGAGTCTTGACTCATTACACACCATCTCACAGCCTTATTTTGCCTTTCAACAGGAAATTTGGAACCCAGGTTTTCCCAACCTACATCTACAAAATGGAATGGGTCTGATTCGCAAGTTTTCAGAGAAAGAAGCCAACCTTAATCAGACTGTGATATGATGAGGAAATAAAACTTGCTGTGCTAATCAACTGATACTGGGAAGCATGTTTATTATAATAACATAGTCTATGCTTAACTTTTCTAAGAAACTAATGATCTGGAATATCGATAAAAAGAAAAAAGAAAGAAAGCAAAAGGACAGAAAGTTTTAGTGAGAATATGTCACTAAAAGAAAAATGCAAAAATCTCCAGGTAATTGTTCTTGTCTGTCACTATAATCAAAGTGGTATTTCACCCCCATCTGTTGTCCCTGCTTTGATGAGTGAGAATAGAAGAGCAGTTCATGGTTACATGTTGGCAACAGGAGCATATAAATATCAAATTGCCTTAAGCACTGGCAAAGGCTTAAGAGTCCATCCTAAATTGAGGGATTATCCAGTACCCTGTTTAGAATGGAAATAAATCCTTGCACAGTACTTTCAACTCAATAACTGAAAAAATGCAGAGAGCAAATTCAACAATTTGTATTACCAACAGCCAGCTGAGTCCAACTTCCTAAATCCATAGGAAAACAGAAAAGCAGAAAAGCAGAAAAACAGGCATCAGTAACTGTCCTAAAAAGTGAAGGACTCAGGAGGCTGAGGCAGCAGAATCACTTGAACCCAGGAGGCAGAGGTTGCAGTGAGCCGAGATGGTGCCACTGCACTCCAGCCTGGGTGACAGAGCGAGACTGTCTCAAAAAAAAAAAAAAATGTGAAGGACTGAGGGAAAGAAACAGAATAGACCATAATGAGTCAGATGCGAGATAAGAGAAGCAGGGCCCGGAACATATGCCCTCAGATAGAATAAGAACAATATCAAAGATGAAAATCCAAGAAAACACCTTGAGGAAAATAAGATGATAGTAATACTAAATATATATGTTAAAGGACTAATTTTAATGAGATACATTCACATAGGTAGGAAGAAAAATAAATTCAATGTGCAGATATTCCTTATGTATATACCAATGAAAGTAAAGAGACAGATAAAATAAGTCAGGCAAATGCTAACGTAAGAAAATAGAGTCACATTATTTATTTTGTAATTTGATATCTGAATATTAAAAACTTACACTTTCTAATGTTCTATAATAAATTCTAAAGTGCAGATATAACTCCCATGAATGTTGACACACTAAGTAACAGTAAAATACATTAAGCAAATTAGAACTGTAAGAAAAAGGAAAGCAACACAGAATAAAAACAAGACTCAGTAGGTGATCTTTATCTAGAATCAGAACAATTAAAATAAAATAATGACTGGAGAAAAACTGAGGTAAGTACTATGTTTAATGCCTGTAAGCAAATATACGTATTTTGAATTGTGACATGATTAAAAGAGAATGTATGATTTTCAAGTGTTCATACAACACATTGAAAAATTAAGCATAAACTCCCCGAAATTCTTATACCTAAATGTCATAAAATAAGTACCAATCATACCAACTACTTTTCTGAACATAATGCAATGAAATCTATAAAACAACTGATATTTTGTGGCTGTTTTTTACTGCATCAAAAGAAGACTAATAAAGCAATGTATTTACCCTGTGAATGTATATGTTCAAATAATTTATATAGACTGTACGCATAATATTCTTTTAATTTTCTTTATATTTCTTCTTATATATCCATTTTCTAAAATAGTGAGTTATGCTTTTATTCACTAGATTTTTTCTGTTTAAATTTGTTTAGGTATTATATTTGATATTTTATTAATTTCCGTATTGATGTTTATCATTTACTTCTTCCAGTTTTCAAATATTTTATGATTAAAATTATAGATCATTGTTTTAAGACCATCTTATGTAAATAGCAAAGGTTTGATTTGTAATGATTTTATAAATATACATATTTTAATGTAATCAAATTGTTAATATGCTGGTCTACACATTTGCCTTTAGTTTCCATTTTTACCCAAGATATGCTAGACAAATATTTTCATGTTATTCTAAAGATTAGAATTTTTATTTTGCTATCAATAGCTCTTTAATCTCTTTCATATGTTCTATCTGCCTATATCTCTGTGTGATCTTTGTTAAACCCATATTCTGAGGTTTAGATTTCCCAGCCACCCAATACTGGTGGAAATTCTGATAGTTTTTGAAACCATGTCTCAAGACTTGTCCCATGGAACATAAAGGGAATCTCTATTCTGTCATTGGCTGGGAACTGCTCTAGGGTGTTTACATCCCTGGCAATTTTTATTTTTCTCATGTTGAGCCTGAAAGAAAGTCACTGATCATGAAATGTGAGCATGGACAGGGACAATTAGTCCAAAGGGAAAAATTAGAGACACTGACTGTTCCATTATACATAACTATATACCTAGTCACTCAATATAATGAAGAGTTTCATAATTAGTCAAAATAAAGTTGAACCATATTAATTCTACATGGAACAATTCAGAATGAATTTAGTCTGGGTATAGATGGTAAAGAGAAAAAGTGAATTTAATTAGAACACAATTTCAATCAAATTAAGTCTTTGCATGAGTTATCAAGGACACAATAAATAATTGAACAATTCCAAAGTGTTACTTTCATAGTAATTTCAAATAATGCTCTAATTATCTCGAATATGTGTGTGCCAGATAAAAAAACCTTCAGTTTTCTAGAGGAAGAGTTGAAAATTGTGAGAAGAAATATTCAGAAAAAAATAAATGTTGATTTATTTGCCTTAACAATTTAAGCTTACATAAATAAGTATGGACATAAAAATAGAGTACCACACTGGCCATACACAGCATGCTTGAGATCAATCCATAAGGATAAATATATACATGTACTGTATTCCTTTCATTGCTACATGTTACTTTTTGCATCACCTCATTTTATGTATTTAAATTCATTAGCCCCTATGAAGTTAATGTATAAAATAACTATTTTTTTATTTCTCTAAAAATACTTTATTGAATAATTTATAATTTCCCCTTATATTTATAGTGAAACCACTGTTATTTGAAGTTTGTATATGACTATAATTCTCCTCTGATTATATCTGTTTTTCACTTTTTAATTTTTAATTATTCTTGTATCCCTCAATGAACCTCATTTAGTCATTATGCATTCTTCTTTTTTTTTTTTCTTTTTTTTTCTGAGATGGAGTTTCGCTCTTTTTGTCCATGCTGGAGTGCAATGGCGCTATCTCAGCACCCTGAAACCTCTGCCTCCTGGGTCCAAGTGATTCTCCTGCCTCAGCCTCCCAGGTACCTGGGATTACAGGCATGCGTCACCACGCCCAGCTAATTTTTGTATTTTTAGTAGAGGCAGGGTTTCCCCCAGTGGCTTTTACTGATTCTGACACAGGCCAACTCTAAGCTTGAGACAGCAGTGGAAGGGTTTCTGTGGGTGAAACAGGCGTGTCTCAGGCTTGTCAGCCAGGTATGACAAAATATGTCTTAGGTTTGATTCTCATATGCATGATGACTACAAATATTTTTGCAAATGTCAGTATTTTAACTTCATATATAAACATAAAATCTTCAAAACACTAACACAAATTAGAGTGCTTCTATCAATGCTCATAGCTAAACATACCAGAGTAAAGATTTTGCATCAGCCTCCTTTTTTGAGTAAGAAGAAAAACAATCAAACAAGCAAATACATCTCAATCATCAATAAAATGAGAAGTCAACCATGACCACTAGCCACAAACTATGAAGAAAGACTCACTAGTGCAGTGAAAATTAAGTGTTGAAGTAAAGCATGGTCTCATACTTGTACAGACCTACAGCAGTGCAAGTGTTCTCCAAAGGTAGGCTATGCATTATGAGGAGTCAAATTTAAAAAGTCTCTTCCTTCCTATGCCAGGTAGATGTCTATTAAAGACTTTTGCTAACATAAGCAGCACTGAATGAGAGCAACAGGCAAACAAACATTCTTTATAGCTACAGCTATGATAAAGAGAGGACACAGAGATTATGGTCAACAGTGCTGCACCAACTAAACTTAGTCAACTGAACTAAATTTACTGTTAATTCACAAAAGTAATGCTGAAATATGTATTTGCTGGAAGAAAAAAGACTTCTTATCCAGAGCAAAACCAGATTATATAGGCTGAGGTAGGGTGTTGGTGGAGAAGCTTTGGTCCATAATTAATTCTCAGTGTGATCACTAGAAAATTATCTGCAGAGAACCTAGGTGAATTCATAGCTTGAAAATGATATGAAGAAAAATTTGGATAACAAAGATGAAAGTGTTCAAAAGAGGTTAATTATACCACAAACTATATAAATATTAACATACATTTCTGCAAGCTATCAAAGAAATAAAGGAACATTTTGGCTTTTTAAACATAGAATAAAAAATGATGTGAAAATGGCATTAAAAATGTGAAATGGCAACATCAAGGAAGAAATAGAAGATATCCATAAAACTATTACAGAAAGAAAAAGTCTAAGTAAAACAGCAGATTGTCATGAATAAGGAGGTAAATAAGGAGAAAAAAAATGAGTGCAATGAAATTATAAAAAGATGAACACGTTTAAAACAAGATCCCCTAGTGTTATCATACATATGTATAATATGAGACTTGGATGAAGCGAATAGAAGAAATGTCTACTAATGGGGAAAGGAGGGCTAATAGTGCAGACTTCTTAAATACATTTGTAGACCAGAGGAGTAAACTGAATACACCACTACTGAGTGACTGAGCTTCTAATGTGAGATTTTATTATTTTTAACATTTTTGCAAGTAACCAAAAATGTTTTGCTTGGTTCACATGAAAGTTTGATATATGTGTGGTTAGTAAGCTCCATATTCCAACATTTGTGTTCAAGCACAAGATCAAATAAATTAATATAAATAAATACAGTGTGAATTCATTAACCTGTGTAGATGCCTGACTGATTATTGTGCAAAATAATTCAAATGGATGTTCATTTTTGAAAGAATGAATATGCTAGAATTTGTTATGGAATTACTGATGTTTTTACTACTGATTATATTTTATTTCTAGGCTGGAATCCAATCAATAGCATGCCTTTCACTGCCTGATTCAGAACATCACAAGAATAAAACAGGAGTTAAGCAAAAGGAAGATTAAATTAACATTCTAATGTTGATAAAGGAGATAGTGTGTAATACGGCAATAATGAGATTCCCATGACAGCACGTCAATATTGAATATAAATCCAACCACAGCCATTGGCATCACTTACCAACCCCACAGCAGGCCACCTTCCCTGAGGCAGAGACTGTAATAGCTTTTGAGGCACAGAAAGTGTGACTCCAGCAATCGAGCAGGTTTAGCAAAAGAGAATAGGATTCCTACATTCTCAGTTCATCTCTACAAACTCACGTATTAAAACAATCATTCAGTTCTGGGACAAGGTCCACCTGTATTCATTTAGTGAAGTCCCTCCACATATTTGCTGTTACAATATTAATTTTAAAGAATGAAGTTATATTTACATGTGTTTTTCAAACATTTAGCTAATGGTGATAGATGTGTTTTCACTGAGATCATCAATATATATCTTAAATACATTGCCCCAAATAAAGCATTATTTTACAGAAAATATAGAGATGTTTTCATGTAAATAAATGCAAGTCACAACTTATATAATTATATATTTTGTTTAATAATTAAACCATTGGGAATTTATGGATCACATAATTCAAATTCCTCTGCATGGTCAGGAGAAGCTGTGTCCTGTCCTTCCTTACCTTGGTTTTTTCTATTCTGCCGCATGCCAAATGCACTACTCCTGACTCAAGGCTTTATAAGTCTTTTCCTGGAATAGCCCAGCCATAGTCACATGCCTCATCTTTCCCTTCATTGTAGGCCTGAATTACTGCCTTTACTGCACCTATTTAAAATATTCTCTTGTTATTCTCTATCTACTTACCTGAGTTTATTTTTCTTGATGACATTTTTAAGATCAGACATTATACACTATTTTATTATTTGTTTTTTATTAATCATTAGATTAATAATCCACAAAGGCAGGAAACTTGTTTTGTTTGCCTTTCTATCCCCAGAATTTATATAGCAGCTACTATTGTAAAGTAGATGCATAATAGCATAAATGAATGAATAAGTAGTTGAATGCATGAACAAAGGAATGAGAAAAAAAATTCTAGTTAACATTTTATTAATGCTATCTTCTGAATGTGGGTGTGTGTGTATGCATATTTCTTGTTTTCCGGGCATTATTTCGTCATGCAGTCAGGACATATGTAAAATACTCCACTTTGTTTAGGGTGATATAGTGCTTCAGAGTGTTAATTAAATTTAGATAGACCCATGTTCAAACTTCAGCCATACAACTTATTATCAATCACATGATATTGGCTGAGAAATAGTCTCCAAATTTACTTATGTCTTTAATGATGAGAAAAGGCTCAATAGACATTCTCTTTTATCAGTGTTATTGTGAATAAAGAGACTTGACCATAGAAATGTACCTACTTTAGAGAAATGGAATCTATCACTAATTTTTTCTTGAAGACAGCTGATGAAGCTTACTCTGTAATTAAATAGAAGGCAGTGTATTTTAACATTTAACTTTTCCTCACTCTAATTTTTTGGATAGAACCATATGTTGATATTCATTCTTAAACTCATTGTAATTTAAATTCTAATATCCCTGGCTTAAATATAAGAAATGATTCAAGACATTATAATTTTGTTATAGAGACAATAAAAATATCTGCAATAGTAATTCGTTGTATGTATATGTAATAATTTTTATTTACCATCATAATATCCAGTGTTTTGCCTCATGACATAGTGCAGGCTTGGCTTTTTTTATTAATAGATTTTTTTTAGACTGGTTGTAGTTCACAACAAAATTTACCCAAAGCTGTGTAAAATACCCATAAATTACCCTGCCTAGACAAATACATAGCCTTTTCTATCTCCCACTAGAGTGGTACATTTTGTTACAATTTTTGAACTTGCATTTACTCATCATTATCAGACAAATTTCACGTTTCCAAACTGCATTTAAACAAATGTAGCTCTCATTTTAGTTTCATGCGGAGTAGATTCACTGCGCTAAAAATCCTCTGTGCTCTGCCTATTTATCCCTCCCTCTCTCTAACATTTGGCAACCATTCATCTTTTTACTGCCCCATCATATGGCCTTTTTGAGAATGTCATATGGTTGGAATCATACAGTGGATTTTCTGTTCACTTAGTAACAAGCATTTAAGTTTCTGCCATGTCTTTATAGCTCATTTCTTTTTAGATCTATATAATATTCCATTGTTTGGATGTTCCTCAGTTTATGTATCCGTTCACCTACTGAAGAACATCTTGGTTGCTTCCAAGTTTTGGTCATTATGAATAAAACTGCTATAAACATCCTTCTGCAGCTTTTTATGTGGACATAAGTTTTTAGCTCCTTTGGGTAAATACCAAGTAGCACGATTGCAGAACCATATGGTAAGTGCTATAGTTTGAATATACTGTTTGTACCCACCAAATCTCATGCTAAAATTTGATTCCAATGTTAGAGGTCGGCTAAATGGGCGGCATTTGAGTGACAGTGGCAGATTCCTCATGAATAGATTAATGCCCTCCTTCAGGCGTGAGTTCTTACTCTTAGTTCCCAGGACAGCTGATTGTTAAACAAGAAACTGGCACCTTATCCTCTTTCTCTCTCTTGCTTCCTTTCTCACCGTGTAATCTCTGCACATTCCAGTTCCTCTTTGCCTTCTACCATGAGTGGAAACAGCTGGAGGCTCTTACAAGATACCTAATCTTGAACTTTTTCAGACATCAGAAACATAATGCAAATAAACTTGATCTTGGTAAATTACCTAGCCTTCGGTATTTCTTTATAGCAACACAAAACAGACTAAGACAAAGGATGTTTAGTTTTGTAAGAAATTGCCAAACAAAATGTCTTCCTAAATTGCTGTACCATTTTTCATTCCCACCAGTAATGAACATAGTTTCCTGTATTTCCACATACTTGACAGCATTTGGTATTTCCACATCCTTAACAGCTTTTGGTATCGTCAGTGTTCTGAAATTGGACAGTTCTAATATGTGTGTAGTAGTCTCACATTGTTTTAATTTGCATTTCCCTGATGACATAAGATATAAAACATCTTTTCATATGTTATTTTCCATCTGCATATCTTCTTTGGTGAAGTGTCTGTTAAGGTCTTTGGCCCACTTTTGCATCAAATTGTTTGCTTTTTTTATGGTTGAGTTTTGAAGTGTTACTCATCTTACTTGGATAACAGTGCTTTATCAGATGTGTCTTTTGCAAATATTTTCTCCCAGTCGGTGACTTTTCTTTTCATTATATTGAAAGTATCTTTTGCAATGCAGGATTTTAATTTTATTCAAGTCTAGCTTACCAGTTCTTGTTTTTTTATGAATAATATCCTTGGTATTATATCTAAAATGTCATCAGCAAACCGAAGGTCATTTAGATTTTATTCTATGTGATTTTCTAGACATTTCTATAGCTTTATATTCTACATGTATCTGTGATTCATAAGTTTACTTTTCTAAACAGCAAAAGGACTGCATCTAGATTTATTTATTTATTAATTTTTTGCATGTGAATCTACTGTTGTTTCAGCACCACTTGTTGAAAAGACTATCTTTTCTCCATTGAAATGCATTGGTTTGATTGTTGATACAGTTGAGATTTTTATTCCTTTCAAATCTCACATTGAAATTTGATCACCAATTTCAGAGGTGGTGACTGAAGGGAAGTGTTTGGGCAATGGAAGCAGATCCCTCATACACGGCTTGGTTCCATCATTGTGATAATGAATTTCTTGTTGTACTATTAGTTCCCACAAGAGCAGATTTTTAAAAAGAGCCTAGCATCTCCCTCCCCTCTCTCTTCATTACCCCCTTGCCATATGATGCCTGCTCTCCTTCGGCTTCCACCACAAGCAGAAGCTTCCTGAAGCTCTCATCAGAAGCAGATGCTGGTTCCATGCTTCTTGTACAGCCTGCAGAACTGTGAATTCCATTGACATGGTTTGGCCCTGTATCCCCACCCAAATCTTATCTTGAATTATACTCCCATAATTCCCACGTGTTGTGGAGGGACCCAGTGGAAGATAACTAAATCACGGGGGCAGTTTCTCTCACACTGTTCTCCTGGTAGTGGATAAGTCTCACAAGATCTGATGGTTTGATAAGGGGAAACCCGTTTCACTTGGCTCTCATCCCCTCTCTTGCCCGCTGCCATGTAAGATGTGCCTTTCACCTTCCACTGTGATTGTGAGGCCTCCTGAGCCACGTGGAACTGAAAGTCCAATTAAACCTCTTTCTTTAGTAAATTGCCAATTCTTGGGTATGTTTTTATCAGCAGCATGAAAATAGACTAATACACAAATAAATCTCTTTTTTAAGATAAGTTAGTCTCAGGAATTCCTTTAGAGCAATGCAGAGATTGCAACACTTGTCAAAGATTAGTTGACTGTATTCGTGTAGGTGTAATTCTAGGATTTCTAGTCTGTTCTATTGATCCATTTGTCTGTTTTTGCCAGTACCGCATTGTCTTGCTACTGTATCTCTATAGTAAGTCTTGAAGTCAGGTAGCATCAGTCTTCAACTTTGTTCTTCTCTTTTATTATTATGTTGCATATCTTGGGTCTTATGTCTCTCCATAGAAACTTCAGAATCAATTTGCCAATATCCACAAAAAAAACTTTCTGGTGTTGCAATGGGTATTGCATTCTATTATAGCTATAGATTAAGATGGAAAGACCTGACATCTGGATACCTTGACACTAGTGATTCTTTACATTCATAAATATAGAATGTAATTGACAGAGAGTATTGAAATCTCCAAGTAAACTAGTAGATTCATCTATTTCCCACGTGTTGTGGAGGGACCCAGTGGAAGATAGTTCTATAGGATTTTGCCTCATATTTTGATGCTTTATTGCTAGGCTTATACGTGTTAAACTGTTATTTTTTGGATAATTGAATATTTTGTCATATGTAACACCATTTTTATCCCTGAAAACTTTTCTTCTTCTATCTGAAATTAATATAACTACGCTCAATTTATTTTTATTGGTTTTAGCATCATACATCTTTACTTCCCCATATACTTTTTATTCTATATGTATCTTTATATATAAAGTAAGCTTCTTCTAAACAACATAGAACTGTATATTGTTTTTGATCCATTCTGGCAATGTCTAATAATTAATTGATGTATTTCGACTACTGAAAATTAAAGTGATTATTTATACATTTTGATTAGTATCTACTGTATTTGTTACTATTTTATGTTTGTTGCCCATGTTCTTAACTCCCACATTTACCTTCTACCTCTTTTTTTCTACATTTTGGATTTGATTTGAGCATTTTATATAATTTTAATTTCTCCCTTTTTTTAGCATGTCAGTTGTATTTTTTCACGATTTTTAGTGATTGCACTATAGTTTGCAATAAACATTTACATTAATTCAAGTCCACTTTGAGTATCACTCTCCTGCTTCACAGGAAATGTGAATACTTAATAATTACAAAATCATCCTTATTCCTCCCACCTCCTGTCATTTGCATCATTTGTGTCATTTATTTCACTTATACATAAGCATACACATGTATATTTATGTACACATATATACATACATATATACCTAGTTGAATGCATCATTGCTTTTATTATTTGTACAATTTGTTATCTGCTGCATCAATTAAAAATAGAACAAAAAATTAATCACTTATTCTTTCTTTGTTGATCTTCCTTTCTTTATGTAGATCCAAGTTTCTGACCTGTGTCATTTTCCTTGTCTCTAAAGAACTTTAACATTTGTTGCAAGACCTGCCTACTAGCAACAAACTCCATCAGTTTATATCTGAGAAGGTCTTCAGTTTTCCTTCAGTTTTGAAAGATAGTTTTGCAGGGTACAGAATTCTAGTCTGATGATTATTTTCTTTCAATACTTTAAGTATTTCACTCCACTCCCTTTTTACTTACATGGTTTCTGAAAAAAAGTAAGTCAGATGTAATTTTGGTCTTTGCTCCTCTACAGGTAAACGGTTTTTTTTCTTTTAGGACTTTTTCTTTCTTATTGATTTTGTGTAGTTTGAAAATGATATGACTAGGTGTAGTTTGTTTGTTTTTGAATTTTATCCTGCTTGGTGCTTTCTAAACTTTCTAAACCTGTGGTATAGTGTATGATATTAACTTAAGAAAACCCTCCTTTATTACTGTCTCAAATATTTTTCTGTTACCTTTTCTCTTTCTTCTTCTTCCGGTATTTCCATTACATGATGTCACACCATTTTTAGTTATCCTGTAGTTCTTAGATATTCCATTCTTTTTTATTTTAGTATATTTTTCACTTTGCTTTTCAATTTAGGAAGTTTCTATTGAGATATTCTAAAGTTCAGAAGGTTTTTCTTGACTATATCCAGTCTGCCATTATGCCCATCAAAGTCACTCTTCTTTTCTGTGACTGTTTTTGATCACTGCCATTTCTCTTTGGTTCTATCTTAGATTCCCCATCTCTATGCTTACATTGCCCATGTATTTTTTCATATTGTCTACTTTATCCATTACAACCCTAAGCATATTAATCATAATTGTTTTAAATTCCTGGTCTGAGTACAACAAACCCCCAAGACACAAACTTACCTTTATAACAAACCTTTACATGTACTCCTGAACTTAAAAGTTTAAAAACAAATCCTGATATGTTAATTTAAATACCCCTGCTATATGTAAGTTTGGTTCTGATGTTTGCTGTCTTTTCAAACTGTTTTTGTTGTTGTTGTTATTGTTTTTCTTATTGGTATGTCTTGCAATTTTCTCTGCATAGTTTGACAGGATGTACTGTATGAAAGGAACTGCTGTAGATAAGCCTGCAGTAATGTGGTGGTTAAGGAGTTGGGGAATGTGAAGCATTCAATAATCCTATCATTAGGTCCCCATCTTTTAGTTAGCTTGTACGTCTCAACTGTGAACTTTATGGGCATTCCCATTTTTCTTTTTAGTTGAGACAGCATAGCTAGAGGGGGCTGGAGTTGGGGATTTCTCTGCTCTTAAGTCAGTTAGCTCTGATAAAATCCCAGCAGGTTAACCTGTTGTTAAATAGTTTTTTTCTGACTACAGACCTTCTTAAGAAAATGGAAAGCTTTGGTGTATTTCAAAATTGTTTATTTCCTCTCCCCCTGAAGAATGCACAAGGGGATTTTTCCTTTGAAATTCACTGTAAGTGCCTGATCAAATTCCAGAAGACTAAACTCACAGCAATGTGCTTCCCTGCCATGTCTGAGTCTGGAGTTTTTAATCTCTCAGACTTGTTCATGCTTAGCCTCCAACAGTTTGTCAATTACACTTCAGGTTTTCCTACCCAGGCACCTGGTTCCCGTTGAGTTTTGTCTTTCTGTTTCTGTTCTAGTAAGCTGTGATTCTTCATATTCTTCTGCTTATCTTCCTAATTTGGGAGGCAGTGGTTCGCCTTGTGACCTTATTTCTCTGAGGGATCTAAGAAGAGTTATTGATTTTTCAGTTTGTTCATGTTTTTATTTGTTAGGATAGAATAACAACTTTCAAGCTTCTTATATGCTGTACAGGAAACCAGAAGTCCTCAAAAAGTATTTATAAACCAATGTTTTTCTAGATAGAAATATAATGCATTCCATTTTATGTATGTGTATATATATTACATATATATACATAAAATGTGCTCACTATTTTATATTCCATGAGTAAATATGTAATATAAAACAACAGCTCATTTATTGAATACTTCGTATGTAATATGTATGTATACAAACACACACATAAAATAGTTTCTTATACATGTATGTGTTTAAAAATGAGTTTTCAATAAATTGAAAACTTCCCTTTCTTTATGAATTAGTAAACAAAGTCACCTACTGAAAATAGTGAAGGTGGAATGATAAGTTTGAACACACTATGTAATTCTGAATTAAGCCATCTGGTCTGAAAGCTGCCTATGAAAATCATGGAAACTATGCCAGAGAAATCATTTGTGAGGGGAGGCAATTTACTTTGGGTTGGCGGTGATCTGTACATCTTTCATCAGTACCAAAAATCCCATTTTTTGTGAAAAATAATATGGGAATAATTCATTTAGATTTCCAACCATTTTAATACATTTCATTTGCTTTTAATTGAGATAATCCATTATTATTTATATCAAAAATATTCATACATAAGTTGAAATTGTACATACATAGAAAGTATTATACACTTTTTTGAAAAATAGCATTTTGACCTTAAAAATTTTTTTTTTTAATTTAAAAAAATTGAGACAGGGTCTCACTTTGTCACCTAGGCTGGAGCATAGTGGTGCAATCATGTCTCATGTAATCCATACCTCTCGGGCTCAAGCCATTCTCCCGCAACATCCTCCCAATGAGCTGTAACTACAGGCACATGCCACCACACCCACCTAATTTTTTAATTGTATTTTGTAGAGAAGGGGCTCCACTATGTTGCTCACGCTGGTCTCAAAATGCCTGGGCTCAAGCAACCCTCTCACCTCGGCCTTCCATAGTGCTGGGATTTCAGGCATGAGCAAACACGCCAGGAAATTTTAGGCTTTTAATAAAAAAAAAATTTCCAGGGGAATATGTCAAGACTTTCCATGATATATTACAAAATATATTTTTCATAATATATGATGGTAATGTATGAATAAAAATTATCAATTTGTAATAATATAGTAAAGTCAGTGTATCTTGGTTTCAGCCTGATTTTAATAATCAAGTCTAAGCCATAAAATATAATGTATTTTTAGCAAATTGCTCTTTTAGAAACAGGTATTCCTAATTTTTTTCTGCAACAGAGAAAGAAAATCAATATTTTTTTGCCATAGATATATGAGCTTCTTTTATACAGTTGTCAAAAAAGGCAAATTACAGTGAATGTTCAAACTTTTACAAAGATACAGATATTATATATACAGTCATCTACCACATGATGATGTTTTAGTCAACAACAGATTGTATATATGACAATAGTCCCATAAGATTATAATACCATGGTTTTACTATATACTTCCTGTGTTTAGACATGTCTAGATACATAAGTAGATATTATTGTGTTACAGTTGTCTACGGTATGGTACAGTAACATGCTGTACAGATGCACAGCCTAGGAGTAATAGGGTGTACCACATAACCTAGGTATGTAGTAGGTTATACCATCTAGGTTTATATAAGTACCCTATAAGATGCATTTCTCAGAATGCATTCTCATCATTAAGCAAAACATTACTGTGTATATGTGTGTGTATGATATTTATTGCTTTAACAAAGCATTATTATAGTTTTTTAATTTAAACTTTCATTTTCTGGTGTGTAATATTTTCATTAAAAATAAAAATACAATAAGACAAATGCTTTGGATACACTAAAAGATTGGTTAAATTAGGTTTTTAATAGAATTATAGCAGAATGTAAAGTTCTTATAACTTAAGGAAGAACATTGGTAGTACATTTAATCAATAAAAGTTTGTATGTGTGCTTTAAAATATTTATATGGCTCATCCTTTTGCATAAAATGTTTGAACTATTTATGCCAAAGCTTTAAATATTCTTATTGGATTAATTAAGAACAAGGATCTTGTCCAAACATATGTATTGACTATTTCTATCCCAACTATATTATTCACAGTAATGCTCTAGGTTTTTTCCCAAGTGATGAGAATTTGGCAATAGCAATACTCTGTTGAGAAAGCTCGCAAGATATTGGTAAATGTATAACAAATGCAATAGGATATATTCAGTGATATTCAAATACATGGTTTACATAGAAATGCAAAAAATTTTTGAAAATCTATAAGATGTAAGTTATTTGAGGAATGAGGCTATACTTGCCCTCGTTATACCCTTAGGTCTTACCATATTATCAAGCATACATAGGCATATGATAAATACATAATAAAATTAGTGAAATAATAGTGAGACAATTGGCCTTGTTTTCTGCATTAAGAAAGGCTAGCAAGTACATACAGCAGCAGCAGTTATACAATCATAATTTTGCTTTATACAAATTCACATTCAGAAAACAACTTTCAGAAATACATGGTGAATATAAGTAGAGACGGTCTATATTATGGCGGTCATCTAATTTATACTTAAGGTTCAAATTTAGTCATACTTCCATAATAGCAGAGTTTATATTATAATTCTATTCCATTAACTTCTCTTTAAAAACATATTAATAAATTATACCCATAGGATAGAAAAAATATCATATTATTTAATTATAATTTTCACATCGAGTTTAGGAAAAAATCAGATTTCCATATTATTTCTATTTCTGCATAAAAAGGTAAATATTACAGATGCCAATGAAAACATGTATTTTCTCCCAGATATCCAAGATGAAAAATCAACATGGTAGAAAAAAGTAGAACACAAGTAACTATGCAAAAGGCAATAAATTTTCAAAAATTTATTTTTAATTTTATGAATACATAATACTATATATAAATAGGGTACACGTGATATTTTGATACAAGATACACTGTGTAATGAGCAAACCTGGATAAGTGGGACAATCAATTTTTAACCTTAAAAATCACACACATTAAATTATATATTTGGAAAGTTTATGTTGGATATATATTAAGTAAATTTTATTAAATTGCCTTTAATATGTTTGACTGTAGTAGAATGAACACTTAATTAAGTAGATTATTCTACTACTAGTGTAAACTTTGAAAACTCTTACAAATGTTCCATGTCTCAGTATCCTACATTGAAAAAAAAAAGTGTGAACTAGACAGTCTTAAGTCTCTCAGGCTTTATGAACCAGATTCACCCAGTCCGTAAACTGTTCTTCACTATTAAGAACAGTGCCTTTGGGAAGGTTGCATTAACTCTTTCAGGCTAATTAGTTTAATTTACATGTAAAGCATATCTTTATATGCAGAGATATTTGGCTTCATTGAATTTCAATTATTTGTCCTTATGCTATAGTAGTTGGCTTCCAATAATTTTTTGGCCTTTTTGTTGTTGAATTGGAGCTAAAGATACATAGAAAATAAGATGAACCATTTGTATTAAAGTCATTTCATGGCCATTAATCAAATAATCATTCCATAATGTATTATCTACATTTTCATTGCATTGATGACTACTGTATTCCAATAGAAAAATAATAGAAATTGATTATTCTAGATTTTTAACTCCAGTTCTACATTTAATCCTGAACTTTTAATCAATGCTTAGTCTTGAGAAAACCCAAGGTTACTTCAGTGTGACCTTATCTAATTTTTGCATGATTTCATGAAATGAAGTATCCAGTCTTTCCAGAGGGCTATAAATTTTATTCATCTATTCAGAAAACTAATACTTGGCTGGGTGCGGTGACTCACGCCTGTAATCCGAGCACTTTGGGAGGCCGCGGTGGGCAAATCATGAGGTCAGGAGTTTGAGACCAGACTGGCCAACATAGTGAAACTCCGTCTCTACTAAAAAAATACAAAAATTAGCTGGACGTCGTGGTGTGCACCTATAATCCCAGCTACTCGGGAGGCTGAGGCAGGAGAATCACTTGAACCTGGGAGGTGGAGGTTGTGGTAAGGTGGTGAGCCGAGATCATGCCACTGCACTCCAGCCTGGGCAACAGAGTGAGACTCTGTCAAAAAAAAAAACCTAATACTTAATTTTAGTCAAAGAACATACCATATAAATTTCAACCATTTGAAATTTACTCAACTACAGTATTGCATGTGTGAAATAAATGTATATTCAGCAGTTTGATATTATATGTTCTTTAAATGTCATTAGCCTATTGTGGTGAAACTGGCCCAATTGTCCCATAGTACTGATGTTTATGGTTTCTTCAAATAAACATAGAAATTGATCCTTCCAGTATTAAAACTTGAGAAAGTTACATTTGCCTTACCTGAGTTCCTTTCTCAGGAAACCAACCATCGGGCCTCCCAGATAGCATCAAGGAGCTGAAACTTACCAGATCACCACCCACATCTGGATAATCAGATGCTAGACCCTTCACCCATCATGATTCCCTAACTGACCATCTGCTTCCTGTTGAACAACTTATTTTCCTTATCCTTTCCCAATTCCTGTTTTCCCATACATGGTTACATTTATTCCCTGCTCTATAAACCCCTAATTTTAGTCATTCGGGTAGATGGATGACAGATTGATCTCAACTGCAGCACCTAATTAAAGCAACTTCCCTGGCAATACCTATTGTTTCAGTGATTGGCTTTCTGTGTGCTGAGCAGTGGGACCTAGGCCAAACTCTTAGGGTTCTGGTAACAATATTTGTCTTTGTCAAACATATCTGCATTATTACAGTCTAGTTGATTTATCAAATTTTGAGAAATATTTAAATCTCCATCTGAGACTTATGTTTTTTTCCTTTCTTTCTCTCAGTTTCCTTTAAAATTTTTGAAAATCTCCATTTGAGTGCATACATATATACGAGTTATGTTTTCCTAATACATTTACCCTTTCATTAAAGCATTGCTATATCCTTTTCTTGAAGCCAATTTTATTAAACTAGGACATAATCGTACAAGATTTTTTGGTTTTTGTTCTACAATATTTCCTTTTTATCTTTTTAACTTATTTGTTGCATTGATTGAAACTGTTTCCTTCTGTTAGCATCAGGTAATTGATCTTGCAAATTTGGACAATCACTAATTTTCACATGATTATTTAAGTATTTGGTTACTGTCTGTAATTTTTCTATTTTTTTCCATAAGTCTGCATTCTTCTTGTATCTTTCTGCTTCTAATTTTCTGCCTTGTTAATTTAAAAATTATAAAATTCAAGGCCAGGCAGGATGACGCAGGATGACTCATCCTGTAATCCCAGCACTTTGGGAGGCTGAGGTAGGCAGATCGCTTGAGCTCAGGAGTTTGAGACCAGCCTGGGCAACATAGTGAGATCCCAGCTCTACAGAATATACAAAAATTAGGCAAGCATAGTGACACATGCCTGTAGTCCCAGCTTCTCAAGAGGCTGAGGAAGGAAGATCGTTTGATCCCAGAAGGTAGAGGTTGCAGTGAGCCAAGATCATGCCGTGTTACTTCAGCCTGGGTGCTAGAGTGAGACTCTGTCTCGAAAAAATACATACTTAGAACTCCATTTTTACTGTTTTACTATATTTCCTGTTATGATGCTTTGAATGTATGTGTTTCTGTATTTATTTATGTAATTATTATTTTATTGGGTACTCTAGGCATTATTTCTATACATTTTAACCTATCACAAGTTGACTAGAGGCTATATTTTACTACCTCCAATAAAATAAATATACCTAACAATGTTTTAGTTACATTTACCACCTGCTTGATGCTATTGCTGTCATATGCATTACACATGAAGAGATCCTAAATCTTTAATACATCTATAGTATTATAGTTGGTCATTTAAATTGTCTAATATCTCATTTGGTCTGCTTTATTTCTTCCTATGGATCTAATTTATCTGCAAGTGCCACACATATTTAACCTAAAGACCTTCTATTAGTATTTCTTGTAGTGATAATTTGCCAGTGATGAGTTATCTGTTTTTGCTTACCTCAGAGAGATTTTGTCTTTCTTTTAAATTATGTTATAGATATATGCTCTAACTTAGATTTATTCCAACCTCTAAAGAGTTGTTCCATCAACTTCCCCCTCCAATTCTGATGAAAACTAGCAGCTATTCTTTTTCTTCTTTTTCTGTACAAAAAGAGGTTTTCAATCTGATGCATTAATCATTTTCTCTTTTGCTTCTGATTTTAGCAGTTTCATTATGATACACTCAGCGTGGTTTTACTTGCATTTATTCTGCATAGAGTTTTTTGTATTTCTTAGAATTGTGTGTAATAATATTCATCAAATTTTGGAAGGTTTTGACCTTTATTTCTTCAAATTTTGTTTTGGCCACATTGTCTCTTTCCTTCCTTTCTGATGATCTCCCTGCGTGTATGATAGACAATTTGATGTTTTTTCCAAAGACCCCTGAGACTCAATATTGTATTTTTGTTTTTTGGATTGTGTATCTACTAATCTATCCTTAAGTTTATGGGTGATTTATTTGTTTTTGGCACTCTGCTTTAATTTCATTATTTTTCATTTTATTCCATTTATGTTACTTTCAGCTTGCAGATTTTCATTTGAATGTTTTTGTAGTTTCTACATCTCTTCCTAGATATTTGAAATGTTTTTTCATTGTGTATATTTTTAGTGTCATGAGCATATTTATGTAAGTTACACTAAAGTTCTTTTCAGTCAGTTGCAACATCTGGGTTAATCTGTGTTAATTGGCTTCTACTTATAAATATTTTTGTTGGCTATTGATACATTTTATCATTTTTTTCTCATATTTGAAGATTTGTAATCAGGTTTGGACATTATAAATAACACTTTATAAAGATATGGAGTTTTTGTGTTCTTTTCAAGAAGGATTTTTGTTAAACAGGCCAATAGCTTAGATGGACACAACTCTTCCTCCTCTGTGTTAGGAAACACTTGAAATCTTCCCTCAGTTTCTTAAGTTTTCAGCTGCTGTTTCATGACAACTCTGGTTCCTCTTTCAAACAGGTAAATTATAATCAGATAAGTATTTGAATGCCTATTCAATGCAAAAGTCTTCTGTGTCTTCTTTCTTTCTAGAACCTTCCCAACATTCCTACAGATTTGCCAGTCTCATACTATGTGATCTGACATCTCAATTTATTGAAGGTTGCAGTTTTACACATTATAGGGTAGTGAGCTCAGGCAATACGTGGCAAATGGCAATTCTCATTTGTCTTTCCAGGGTAGGATCCCCTCTGTTCTCTGTATGCTTAATTACTCTGCAGTACCTTCATATTATTTTGTTGTGTATATGTTTCCTTGTTTTTAATTAGTCCAGATTTTATAGGGGTAATATGTGGAAGTTATAGTCTTTCCAAGTCAGACGGTCATCAGTGAAAGCCAGAAGTTTGGCCAGGCACAGTGGCTCAGGCCTGTAAACCCAGCACTTTGGGAGGCCGAGGCGGGTGGATCACTAGGTCAGGAGTTTGAGACCAGCCTGGCCAACATGGTGAAACCCCGTCTCTACTGAAAATATAAAAATTAGCTGGGCATGGTGGCAGGCACCTGGAATCCCTGCTACTCAGGAGGCTGAGGCAGGAGAATCGCTTGAACCTGGGAGGCGGAGGTTGCAGTGAGTGGAGATCACGCCATTGCACTCCAGCCTAGCAACAAGAGCAAAACCCTGTCTCAAAAAAAAGAATGCCAAAAGTTCAAAATTTTAATTATAGCTATGCTTTATGACAAAATTTTGATTATAGCTATGCTCTATGACAGTATATTTAAATATAAATGTACTGATTTTATAAAGACAATGTTGCTTATATTACCTAAAATGTCTACATAATATTCGGAAAAGCAATTTCTTATGTCAATTATCAATAATTATTGAAAGTATATGCTGATTTTAACTAATTGACCACTTTTACCTTTAAGCTTTTTAATAGATTTGTTTATTTTTTCATATTTGCAATAAAAGTTAAGGTTTATTTTTATAGGGTATAATAATACAAACAATACTATCACAATTATTATTAGTATTCATGATGGATAAAAATTTCATTAGATTTTAAACAAGAAAAACTTGTCTAGCTTAAGATATAGTGTACAATATTTATTGAAAACAGCATTTGAAAGCTAATTAATAAGGCAAATTTTTCATGACAAAGGAGACACACCAATGCCATTAAAAATGAAAAAAATACTATTAATGTATCAAAGTCAAAATAGAAATGCAGAGATGAATCTCTACATTTAAAATGTTTAAATTTGGGAAGCAAGAATTGTAATTCAAAGCATACACTCACAGACTGGGTGGACTTCAGCATGTGTGAAGAATGAAGTGAAAATTAGCAGTATTATAAAAAAAGAAATGTTCTGAGAAGAGAAGTGTTATATATGGCCCTTTAAGCAAGTTGATTGATAACTAGTAAAGTTTTGAACTGGCAAGTTCTGATTGGTAAGTGACAGTGTTACCAGAAATTCTGTGTTGGGATGAATCCTTTAACTGAGGAGATCAAAAGAGCCAGAGCTCTGGACCGGCAATCACAGTTCTTGTGATAGTAAGCAAAGAATTGCGAACTAGCACCAAAATGCAAGCTCCAAGCGAAGTTTACTGAAGCACCATAAGACGCTCTGAGTGAGAGTGGGCTGATTTCTGCAAAGTGAAATCAGAACTTCTTTACAAAGCTTAAGGTGCTTTTACTGTGTTTGTGGGAAGGAGTTGGGGGTTGGGCTGCGTTTGAGTGACAGGATGATGTCATTTGATTGGCCCTGTAACTGAAGTTAAATTGTGCATGTTCTTCTTACCCATAATTCATACAGAAAAGCCCACTTGGTGGGGTGGAGGGTAAAACCACATGTAAATTTTATTTATTTATTTATTTATTTGAGACAGAGTCTTGTTCTGTTGCCAGGCTGGAGTGCAGTGGCACGATCTTGGCTCACTGTAACCTCTGCCCCTGGGTTCAAGCGATTCTCGTGCCTCAGCCTCTGGAGTAGCTGAGATTACAGGTGTGCGCCACCACACCCAGATAATTTTTGTATGTTTAGTAGAGACAGGCTTTCCCCATGTTGGCCAGGATGGTCTTGATCTCCTGACCTCGTGATCCACCCGCCTCGGCCTCCCAAAGTTTTGGGATTACAGGCATGAGCCACCACACCAGGTGGTAAACTTTATTATATTGATGGTATGATGAACTTGGGGTGACCTTGAGGACACGGTTTTATATTACTGGGCATGCTCCACTTTAGGGAATTTCCACCTGTGCCCCAGTTTCTCTTTCTTCAGGGTGTTCTGGCCACAAACTTTACCACAAACTCCATCCCTTACGGTGGAGTTAGGGTGGTCTTGAAGATGAACTCAGGCAGGCCAGAGGTGACTTTAGTGACAGCCTTTTTGCTCTCCTCTTTTGACCCCTCCCAGCTGCTAATGTCTGTCTAACTACCTAACAGCAGAGGTAGATAAAACCACCCCTGGAGTCCAGCAGGTTGTTTCAGCAGCTAATAGTTAGAACTGGTTTCAGGTTAGAACAGGCAGTTTCAGCAGCCAAACTTGTAGAGAATCACATTCCTGGGGAAAGGTTGTTTGCCTTGAGTGCTTTTTCACCATGGCTTCTCAACTCTGTTTTAGGTGAGTATGACAAGAATGACCCAATTTTTCCTATCAACTTTTACAAACGAAAGGATAAAGTAGTAAATTGGCATGGGACACATTTTAAAACCGTATACTAAATAATATGGTGCAAAGAATAAATTATATTCTAGAGAAAAAAGTAAATAGCTTATCATTATTTAAAATGTTAGAGATTACATGCTTTGAAAGGAATATATTCCAAGATAAATATAAATATTACATAAACAAATAAAATACTGAAAACTCTTTTTAGTATTTGATAATTGTTTTTTGTTGCCAGTACATTGCACTAGCTCTCAAGAAAATGTATCAATAGTTTTAACAAATTTTTGATCTAGGGCTGACTACATCCACAAATTTGATGTACATCAAAATATTTTCTGATATATCTCCTTTGTACAACTCCTTTGTCTTTATGATCTCATAATTATCCAAATATTAGCATTACCATAGTATTAAACATACTTCTTTTTCTCAGATAGTGATCATGTCAGAGAAAAGACAACACAGGTACCTACCTCAAAAATTATTAAAATCTCTCAGTATATGGAAATATGCCTCCTTCTCAGAAATGTCAGTATACTGCTACACATTACAAACATTATAATGTATGTAATGATGCCTGCACTAATCAAAGCTGTTTCTAGTCTTTTCCTTGTATAAATACTAATGCTACATTAGACATTTATGTATGTCTTTGTACCCTTGTAAGAAAATCTCTTGTTACAAATTTCTTAATACAATATTGATATAGGATTGATACAGGCAAGACATAAACATTTTTATTTTAGAACAAATTAAATTGCCCCTATTACTCACATGAAAGGAGAAACCACTTTCCTCATTCTCTAAAACATCAAACTTAATGAAATTATTATTTCCTATACACATGACCATGAGAAAATGTATTTCATGGGATTTTCTCTCAATGTATAATTCCCTACATATTAATGGGGTTGAAGTTAAACTAATTTTTATTTTCCAAAACTTTGGGTATTTCTTTACCTGTAGATTTCCTGTTTATATCTGCTAGTGTTGCTTATCATAACTCTTTAGTGATATTATTAATATTGGTTATATATATTTTCTCACCTCTTTTCTTTGTCATTTACCTTATTTATTGCTGTCTCTCATTGTAAAGCAATGTTAACTTTTTCTATAGTCAACATTTTCCTTGCAGCTGGGCCAGGACTAAGGGCAGCAGAAACATCTGTGGATTAATGTTGTCGAAAGCTGAGAGCTGTTTGTCATTATAATGAGGACAGCGGCAGGCAAAACTTGGAAAAATGTGTAGGAAATAATTTTAATGGAACAATGATTTTTAGGGTCAGAAGTGTGTCTACAATAGAAAATCCACACCTGGCCCTAGCAATCTAATGAGAGGAGTCAAGCTTCTCAAAAGCAATGTGAAAATTTCCTGCGATTAAAAAATAAAAAAAAAAGAAGGATGAGAATGAAAACAAACATGGTGGGTAGTATTAAGGTGCAAGTAGTGAAAACATTACGCCAGCTCTTAAGAAGATATCCAAAATATATTGACTTAGTTAACGATTATTTTATCTGTACGCTCATTCAACAAAGTATATAGACAAATACCTGTGTCTTCTAAAACAAATTTGGGAACATCGCGTACATACAATTTTAAAGCCTGCTTATTTTCAATAATCAATGAATTGTGAAGCATTCTTATTGTTGCTAAGCATATTTTTTAAAACTTAGAATGTACTTTGCTCTGAGTCTTTAAAACCATCATATTATTAGGATTACAACTTTTCTAGCTTTGATATTTCATTTATAGTAAACTTTATACTGTCCTATTTATTGCTAGCTTATAAGTACATATTATAAACAAAAAATAATTCGATTGTAAATATTCTGTCAAAATGAGTCTACATATAAAAATTTGCTGGATGTTGTGTAGATAGTAAACTTAAGATATAAGATATTTACACCTAGACCTGAAATTAGATCAGGTGAAACATTTCTTACCTAATATTCCTCTAGAAAGCTGATTGAGATGAAGAGGTTTCTCTGTTGCCAATTATGTTCAGGGTTTTAGTTCAAATAAACAAAATTTAGTTAAGTAAGAATTTAATAACCTTCATCTGGTAGAAAACTCACATATGTAGTAAATATTTGAATTGGACTTGAAACATGGTCCACCTCACCATGCTTTGAAAGAATTCACAGTTCAGATTGTTAACACCATTTCTATGACTTTACTATACATTATATTGTGAATTGGACAAAGAAAAGGTAATCTGTTCCTGTGAATGCTTTTAGGCTATATTTGCCTGCAAAGTAGAATTCTATATGTTGTGCAATCTTTGTGCTTGCTTTCATTTAAAATGTGAGTCAGTACTCTGAGAGATGACAGCAAAGTGAATATATCCTATTTTGATACTCCAACACACTTTTTGACTTCTCAGTTTCCTGATATTTTTCTTTTTGATTAGCATTTAGAGGATGATACTGTACATGTCCTGAGACCCTTATCTCTATATCTTCTCCAATTTCTAGATCAAGCAGGGTGTCGAATGGAATGACTATTGAGGAATGTTTTCTTCTGCTGTGACCTTACTGATATTTCCCTTGAGATGTAGTTAAAAAAAGTTTACTAGAACTTCCAAGCCTAGAGTTGCTTTACCTATTAAGAAACATGCAGGATTTCCAACATGTTGCAGAATGCTCTATATTACTGGAAGTAACTAGAATCATTTTCTTCTCACTGAACTCTGTGGTTCCTGTGATAGTTCTGATGTCATGTTGGTATCAAAATATGTCCTTCATTTTGTATTGAAAATAATATTTAAAATCTTGCCATCTGTCAAAAAAATGGACAATCACTTTTATATTTCACACAACAAACCCAAATTGACTTTACATGTACTTATTATTTAACCCTAATAATTCTTTCTCACAACTGTTTTGATAATCTTTAGGAGGTCATCATTATAAAGCTATATTGATAGAGGAATATCACATGCCAATATTGTATAATGTAACACTTCTCAGCCAAAATCTAGTAGAAATGGTTTAAGCCAAATTTTTACAAGTGTGTGCAAAGCCTGTCAAGCAGCTTGGAAAGAAAGTTCAATAACAACACAAATTACACTAAATGGTAAAACACACTTGAGGTAGATTATAGAGGGTATACTTATTTTTTATCTGCAGTGATCTGTCATGTATTTGTCAACAATTTCACTATATCTCAGCTTTTCTCTCTATAAAAATAAGGTACTTCATTTTCTAATTTTTTTGTGTAAATGTAGGTAAAATGTGTCTTATCTAGAGAATATAGTTTAATTGTATTTCAAAATTTGGTGTTGCCATTGAATTTGTAAACTTTACTTGGTGTTATTCAACTTAAAAGTATTTGTATAGATAAATAATAGATTGGTGCTTATTGGATGTTTTTAAGTTAAAAAAACTAGTGGCAAAAAAATTAAAAATCATATTTTAATTTATAGTTTATAGGTCTATGTTTATTAGTGTCTTTGTTTCGACTAATTTTCTTTTCTGTGCAAAATACTATCTTTCACCTTGTATTGTCTTTCTGGCATATATACATAACATATTTTTTATTCTAAAAATTTTTTGATTATAAAACTTTAGCAACACAATTATTTTATCAAAGATATTTTTGCTCGAGCGACTTCCGTCTACTGAAACAGGCCCTGAAATATCTATCACTACCATGTTATTGGGAATAACCCAATAATGAAGCTATATAAACTTCAGTGTACAAACAGCATTCAGTTCACCTAAATTTTCTTGGTGGGAATAGGAAATTATGATATGCAGAATATTAATTTTCCAACTTGAAGTATGTGAAGGTCATACAAAGATAAGGGAGTAAGCTCATTTCAGGAAGAGGCAGCAAATGGTCTAAAGCACAGAGCTATGAAATACCTCTTTCTTTAGGAAATGGCACAATATTCTATGTCACTTGAGAGGCAAATGGATCAAGAAAGACAATATGATGCTGCGAGATTTGGATGCCGTGCTAAAGAGGTTTACAATGGGAGGTATTTACTTATTTATACAAAGAGTAAAATCACTGCATATGGACTGGGCTTTAAATAAATAGGGGGCAAGGCAAACAAAATGTTTTACATTATTTAAGTTACACCAGTGTAATGCCTAAATTGAATGGATATATCTTGGTTTGGATATTAGCTTACAGCTAACATGTGAGTATGATATTTCCAAGTCTTTGTCTCAAATCATCCTATCCTAGGGCTGTAAGTTACACTAGGCTACACTCCACACATACACACACACACATACGTATACCATGATCATTATCAGCCACTTAATTGTCATCAAATATAATTATCAGAGATGAAATTAAAGGTAAGTTCCGGCAGCAAGGCTCTTGATCTACCCCATAAGAAAAAAAAATAACTTTCATACTGTAAATATTTGTCCACTTGATACACTGGTGAAAATAGAGTGTGGACACTTCTCAGTGCAGTCTCCAGGACTAGAAAATTAAGGAAGACATGGTGAGAAATGTAGTTACCTGGGCCCTAGCGTAGCCCATATTAAAGTCTCCTAAAGAGATAACACTAGTGCAGAAAGAAAGAATGCTCCCACTGTATTAACAGGTCTTCTTACAACTGAAATCACTTCAATAATAATTCAAAGGTTATTTGATCCTCACAACTGTCTTGAGGTAGACAGGAAAAAAATAGACTTGAAATTATGCAGAGATCATGTAAGTAGATGTGTTATGTATAAATTATAAAATAACTGACATTTCTATCCTTTACCTACTCTATCTTCTTTCATTGCTTCTTTAAAATTAATATTAAAGTCTACCCAGTAAAATGAAGCATTGTGTTCAGGTGACACTGGATTTTACTATTAAAATAGGTACAAGCTGTCATAAAAATAAACAGATATTAACACCATTAGTATTAAATTTGAACATTTTATAGAAAGTCTTAAAATTATTAAGAAAATATTGATATGATTCAGAGAGCAGACAGTGTCTTACCTACCATATGAGTTTCCTTATGAGTGTATAACAAGCTACACAGAGTTGGTGACTTAAACAACAGATATTCATTCTCTCACAGTTTAGAAGGACAAAAGTGAAATATCAGTATCACTGGGCTGAAATTAAGGTGTGTTAACAGGACCAGCTCCATCGGGGGACTCTGAAAAGAGAAACTCTGGCCAGGCGCAGTGGCGCATGCCTGTAATCCCAGCACTTTGGGAGGCCGAGACGGGCAGATCATCTGAGGTCAGGAGTTCAAGACCAGCCTTCAACATGGTGAAACCCTGTCTCTACTAAAAATACAAAAATTAGCTGGGTGTAGTGGCAGGCACCTGTAATCCCAGCTACTCGGGAGGCTGAGGCAAGAGAATTGCTTGAACCTGAACCGGGGAGGCGGAGGTTGCAGTGAGCGGAGGTTGCAGTGAGCGGAGATTGCGCCATTGCACTCCAGCCTGGGCAACAAGAGCGAAACTTCCTCTCAAAAATAAAAATAAAAATAAAATCTTCCTTGTCTCTTACAGCCTCTGATGGCTGCCATCATTCCTTGCCTTGTGCCACATTTCTCAGATCTCTACCTATGTGATAACATTGCTTTCTTCTCTGTATGTATGTCAAGTCTCTCTCTGCCTTCTCATATATGGATACTTGCGATTGCATTTAAAGACCACTAAGAATATCCTGGATAATCCGCTCATCTTTACATTCTTACCTAATCTGAATTGCAGAGGCACATTTTTTCCCCATTGTAATATGTACAAGTTCAAGAAATTAGGACTTATATTTAGGGGAAACACTTTTCAGCCTATTATAGTCTTTCCTCTGACATTTATAGATTCATGTCCATCCCAGATTTAAAATATATTCACTCTATCCCAACATTTTCCAAATCTCAACATATTAAGGCATCAGCCCAAGTTCTAAATGCCATCTAAATATCATCAGTCCCAAAAATTCAAAGTTGATCATCTGAATAATGTAAATCACATATATATGATACTCTGGGTATGATCCATCCTGAGGAAAATTTTTTCTCAATTTATATACCTGTAAAACTAGAAAATTTATCTGTTGCCAAAATGCAATGGTGGGTGAGGCATAGTCTAACTTTTTAAAACACTGTCATTCCAAAAGGGAGAAAACGAAAGAAAGGAGTCAGAATTTCCAAACAATTTTGAAATCAAGCAGGGAAAATTTACCTAGGTTTCGTGGCCTGAAAGTAATTCATTGTAGCTCAGGACTCTGCCTCCTGCAGCGTGGCTCGGGATTCTGCCTCTTTGCCTGCAGATTGGGCCTCTTCTTTGTTCATACTGTAGATCCTGGGCCCAAGTGTCTGCCCTGAGAGTCGTCCTTTCTTTTTCTTGAAGGATGACACATACGTACTTCACAGTACTTTCATCAGCCTGTTTATTGCCTGTAGAGTTTTGGTTGTTAAACTACCTTTGCTTATTTAATCTCTGACTATTTTAGTTCAAGCCGGCAGTATTTATGCTGATACAACATTCTAAAAAACTTGTGGGTCTCCCATGTATTTTACAGGAATTCACACCTTTAGACAAGAGCATCCTCCACAGATCTTTCTTGAATAATCCAATCTCTATTCCTGCCTTCTATAAGATGGTTGAGTGAATCAATGAGCCCATGCATGTAGTCTCCTCGGTGCTAGTAACAGGTGCCCAGCTGCACCATGGTCCATCACCTCAATGTGGTTTCCTCACAGTTAACTCTTTTAATGTTATCATTTTTTTTTTGTAATGTGGATAAGCTGAGAATTTCCCAAATCATCGTGTTAATTTCTTTTTGCATAACTATTTTTTCCTTAATAAACTACTGTCCTCTTACATTTTGATATAAGCAGGCTACACCTTTAGTAGTTTGGTTGGAAATCTCCTCAGGTAAACATCTAAATTCATTGCTTATAATTCCTGCTTCTGAAATAACCGTAGAACACAATTTAGCTAACTAAATTGTGATATACTTGTCACTACATAATAAAGATTGCCTTCCCACCAGTTTCCAATAATAGGTTCCTTTATTTCTTCTAAGTCCTTGCCAGAAGTGCTTTTGAGCATCCGCATTTCTACTAACAGTCTGTTTATGCAGATTTAGGTATTTTCTATCATTTGCCTCAAAATGTTTTTAGCTTCCACCCATTATCCAACTCGAAAGCCCCTTCACATTTTCAGGTATTTATAATAGCAACATCCAATGTCCGTGGACCAATATTTGTGTTCATTTCCTATGGCTTGTGTAATCAACCACTACGAACATGGCAGCTTCAACATAAATTTATTGTGTCACAGTTTTAGATACTAGAAGTCCAGAATCGGTATTACTAGGCCAAAATCAAAGCGGTGGGGAGGCCACACTCCCTCCAGATGATCTAGGGGAAGATTTGCTTGTCTCTTTCAGGTTTTAGTGGCTGCCAGCAATCTTTGGCTTGTGTTGCGCCACTCCATTCTCTGCCTCCAACTTCACATTGCCTTCTTCCCTGTGTGTTTAAAATCTTCAGTTGCCTTCTTCTTATAATGATAAATATGATTGTATTTAGGACTCATCCACTCAAGTCCCTTATATGTGCAAAAAAGACATTTATCTGAATAAGCTGACATTTATAAATTTCAGGTATTATTACCTGAAATATTTGATGAACATTATTCAGTCTACTCCACATATTTACATACCTTAGCTTTTTTAAAATTAGTTTCATTGTACTTAATTTTATGAACATTTTGCTATTACCCTGCAGATTTTAAAAGTCTACCCTTTCTATTAAAGTAAGGGTTTTTTAAAAACATTGAATTCACTAAAGCATAATCAGTTTTTCAGAATGCTCAAGTTAAATATCAATTAAAGATATTAGAGCACATACTATTTTGTTAAGTCTGATTTTTTATTGGTGCATAACATGTAGGCTTTCTTTAGAATAATGATGCTTTCTCGCTGGGCTAACTATTGAACAACATTTTATTTTCAGACATTCAGTAAATGGTTTATCATGTTATTATCATTAAAAACTTAGATTATTATCTTACAAAATGGAACAACATTCTATTTATATTTTAACACACATGGCACTTCATTGCCTTCTGGCAAAATCTACCGTTAGAACATTAATGCATATATTTAATATTCCCTATTAAGTAGCAGTTTCTTGCAAGACAACCTGCTGATTTGAAGCAAAAGACCAACACAAAAAAAATGTAGCAATTATAGATGTACTATGCTGTAGGAATTGCTAGTCCCTTGTATTTCACCTCATTATACTACAAGTTTCTTCAAAGAAACAATCTGTCCCCATCACTGGTTCCTGGGGAGTGAAACTGTTGCAATTTGATTTTTGGAATTATACTTCCAAAAGTATAAAATACTTATATTTTGAAATGCAAATACTTACTCTCTCATAGACCTGCCTGGCCAACTGCTGATTATCCTAATGAAGCATTTAGTATTAATCACTTAGTAAATTTATACCAGCAGAAAGCAAGATCCTTTCTCCTTGCTCATTAGTTATATGCAAATGAAGAGAATAATTAGGGTCTTGTCTCTGGGATATAAGATAATATATATTTGAATAAAAAGTGTCATAATACAATATGATATAGGGCAGAATAAAGTAGGTTTGGACCTGCACTGCTTGGGGTAAACTTCAGCTCTGTCCCTGATTAGCCGTGACATCAATCATGTCATTTATCCTGTTTTTAGTAAAATGGTAAAAATTCCTGCTGTCAATTTTCTTGTTTCCAGTTGTTTTCTCCTTTTCACAAGAGGCCTATGCAATACTTCCTGCACCATAGTACCTGCATTGCCCCTTTGTGTGGAAGGAATACACAGCACTGCCCCCATTGACACCACAACCGGCAAAGCAACTTGCTTTTGGCCAATGAACTGTGAATGGAAGTGTTACGCACAACTCTATTACAGCAGAAGCCGTATGAAATATCATGAGGTCCCACCTTCACATACCTCACACTTATCCAGGAACAGCCTATCTCAGAGAAATGCTCACCCTTAAGCCTAGATCCCAGAATTAAGACGCTGTGATAAATACAGCCACAGCCAATTCACAGGCAGCACATGGCATGAACAAAATATAAAACTTACTCTTTTGTAAGCCTCTGTGGTATTAGGGGTAGTGTTAAATTTGCATATGACCTAGCAAAAGCTCCATAATAGTAGTAGTTACTTTATATAATTATTTTGAGTAAAATCCAGGGAAAGCAGTTAGTAACATGCCAGGTATTAGAAGTGTTCAAATAATGTATGTTATTATTAGTTATTATTTTGAAAAACCAAAGAGTGATAATGTAAGAGATGATCACACTTTAGATTTTAAAGTTGTTTTTAAAGATCTGGTTTAGGCTGGGCGCGGTGGTTCACACCTGTAATCTCAGCACTTTGGGAGGCTGAGGCGGGTGCATCACGAGGTTAAGAGATCGAGACCATCCTGGCCAATATAGTGAAACCCCGTCTCTACAAACAATACAAAAATTAGCTGGGCGTTGCAGTGCGCCTCCAATCCCAGCTACTCGGGAGGCTTAGGCATGAGAATCGCTTGAACCCAGGAGGCAGAGGTTTGCAGTGAGCCAAGATGGTGCCACTGCATTCCAGCTCCATTAAAAAAAAAGAAAAAAAAAAAAAGCCTGTTTCATAGATTGCAGTACACTATGCTGGAACCAGGAGAGATAGGCATATTTTCCAAAATTTCAATGGGTGTCAACAATAGAGACTGGCTTTGAAGGTGTGGGTTGCTAAATTCTCCTGAAATTTATTCATTTAAGAAAATCATATAATCTTCCAAATCGGTTTACTTCTTTCAACTCTGATGCTGTCTCCTATACCTGCTATTCTCTCTTCAAACAATAAAAAACAAGAAAAGTGGTAAATACAGTATTTCAAGGGCTGCGTTCATTCTTTGTACTCCCCAAAATATACAAAAACATTTCCATTTAACATATAATAAAAATAGTTTTCAATAATGGTTTTTGAACAGTTAAAGCTATTTTTACGGGGGCTTAAACTACATTACTCACATAGCATGCAGGAAAACAAAAAGATTTTAAAAATTGTTCTAGAAAGTTACAATAATGACATTTTCCTAGCCCTTTTCTACCACTAAATTCCAATCCTATCTCTTCACAGCCTCTCATCTATTTAAAACTGAAGTGGTTTCACTTGTCCCCTGAATTACGAGAGCCTCTTATTTAGGTACAGTTGATAGCTCCAGGTGTCATTTCATCTATTGCTGTACAATTTAGTTTTAGATGTGATCAAATTAAGTACTTGATTCCAGTTTGTCCTACACATTAACAAATTACTGGACATGGAATGTTACTATGGGACAACTAAAAAGAACATTGTTATATTTGCTCATTCTCACAATCATGATGTTTCCACTGAACTCTGATATGTATCACCCAACGTATATCCCTTCATGGTCTCCTTAGGTAGAAAGGATTTCTAGATCCTAAATGCAGGAATTTGCTTTGGCAACATTGTTTTTCTATTATGTTTATTAAATCTAAAATTCAATAAGTCAAATAAATGATTTATAATGGGAAACTGATTTAAATGGTTATAATTAATGTAAAAGTAACTTTAGAGATACTATTGATCCAATAATGTCAAATGCCAGCTGAAATTTGTGACTTGACCTTATGCCCATTTTGAAATTATGACTATAAATCAGCTGAACTTTTCTCAGGTCAATCGTGCTTTTAAAACATTTATATCTACTATTAATATGTGTTGGGTACCAATGATAAACAAAATATTATAGGAAAGCTAAACTTATAAATAATAACCATTTGATTATGAAGTCACATAAAACAGACTGCAATATAGCTGTTAGCTAATATCTGTAAATTGTTATTTTGATCTAAGTAGAATGTTTGGTGCATTTAACCAACACTATGACTCAGTAAGGTACATACCAGGACAATTTCTTAATTATAAAAGGGTCAAAAGGGATTGATCAAGGCCTTAGAGACAGGACTTTGCAATCAATGGAAGGCAAGTTTATGTCACTACATACAGGTTTATTATCACCGAAAATTCTGAGTGTAAATTTTATAATACTTTGCTTCTTACACTTAATCTATCTAATAGCCAACGAGCCTTTGGCTTTGGTTTGTTTGGGGTTTTAATATAAAAGAAACACATGTTCCTCATGGAAATATTTGAAAAGTGTGAAATAGCATGAACTAATCAAAGAAAGAAAACATATATAATCTCAACAACTTATTTAATTTTCTTAGTGTTTTTCCACACATTTTGTGATAATCAGATCTATACACACAATCTGTCACACTGAATGTCAAACGTTTTGCTTAATATTAAACCAGTGACTATGATTTTTGATATATAGACTGAATCTATGTGAATCTTGGAGATCTATATACATATATTGGTATTTATTTTTTTATTGCTGTAATAGTTTTATACTGTTTCAAAAATTATAAATTGTAATTAAAAATAAAATAATAAGCAGTTATATAGTAAAAAGTTATGATTTCAGTTGCTCTTTAAATAGCCAACCATTTTAATAGGTCAATATGAATTATTTCAAACCTTATTCAATAAACTTACATATGCATACTTTTTATTACACCAACACACTTTGTCTTACTCAATGTGCCATTTTCATTCTCTTCTTCATTGACTTCTTTCCTTGTTTGTTAATACATTGGCCTAAATGACTATATTCATAGTATTTCAGAGCATGTTATGTAATTTGATTTAACAAATACCTGCTTGATACATCTTTAGATTCTCTTTTATTTTTAGATATTTCAAAGCATGAATGTTGTGCCTATATTCTTGTTCACATTTGTGAATGATTATTTGGAAAATATTTTAAAAAGTAGAATGGCTGAATCAAATAATAGTCATTCTTCAAATTTTGCTCTCAAATTTCTGTACTATTCTAATTCTAAATAGGTATATGTTCAATCTCATTTCTCCATAAGCTGTCAGCAAACTCTATATTATATATAAAAAACTGAGCATCAAAAATGATATCTTAAAATGTTGTTGATTTTTTTCTCTTATTATCAAAGTAATTGAACATCTGTATATCTTCATCAACCAGCTAGGCTTTCTCTTTTCTTATGGCCAAGGACTCAGGATTCTTTGCCTAAAGTTACAACTATTCACCTATCACAGAAATATGTACACACATGCGCACACACACACAGCACACTATTATGACCCAGTCTTTCCCTTTGTATTTATTTTTATGAAGACTTTTAGAAAACAGAGTTCTTTTTTCTTTTTTTTTTGAAATGGAGTCTCACTCTGTCACCCAGGCTGGAGTGCAGTGGCACGATCTTGGCCCACTGCAACCTCCGCCTCCCAGGTTCAAGTGAGTCTCCTGAATAGGTGAGATTACGGGTGTGCGCCACCACACTCGGCTAATTTTTGTATTTTCAGTAGAGACAGGGTTTTGCCATGTTGGCCGGGCTGGTCTCGAACTCCTGACCTTAGGTGATCTATCCGCCTCAGCTTCTCAAAGTGCTTGGATTACAGGCATGAGCCACTGCCCCTGGACTTTAGTTGTATAAGAATAAAAATCTATGACTTTTCTTTGATTGCTTCTATATTTACATATTGCTTTATTAACTGTTGCTCATCACCAACTTTTGAAAAAGAATTCCAAATTTTTACATGCGAAATAATTTCAAACATACACTAACCTGTAAGGATAGTTCAGAAACATTAAAAACGAACTCTACAGTAGACACTTTTTTCTTAGCTGTATGAATTGAGGTTAGCCTTTGCCAATAGAGGGTGCTGGAAAGACATTGCAAACCAGAGCAAGAGAAAAGCATTTTCTTTTTTTCCTTCCTTCTTCCGGTAGGCTATTTGTCTGCCCAGTGGCCAGCGGCTCAGCTGGGAGGGGTGAGAGCACTGGTGGCATTCTCTGCAGTTGCCCTGGCAGATGCACTGTGAATGGCACTAACAGGGTTCTCCATCAGTCAACAGTGGGCAGCTCCTGCAAACCTGCGTGGCTTGTCTCAGTGGGGACGTTTCCTACAGACCAGCTGTGGCTTGTCTCAGTAGAGACATTTCCTACAGACCAGCTGTGGCTTGCACTTGCCAGCATGTTTCATCATCCCAAGCAGGCTGCTTGTGTCTTTGGCCACCATTCTTCTCCGAGGTTTGAAGTTTCGTTTAGAGTTTGTGCCCTTCCTTCGAATTTCTGATTCTATCCTTGTTCATGCTCCTTCAGCCTTAGAAGTAGCAGCTATCTTCTGAAAGAGATCTTTCTTCTCCTTTAAGCTCTTTGTTAACATTTCTCTAGATGCAATTTATTGAAAATAAAGATTTTCTGTTTACTCATGGTTTTGGTGTCCTGGCATTACCTCGGGTGATAAATTTAGTTTTTGTTTTAGTTTAAGTTTCATTTTGTATTGTGTTGTTTTCCTTATTTCTTCATATTTTTCCCTGGTTTGAAGATGTTTTTCCTCAAAGTAGTGAAAAACATTTATCCAGCAGCGATTATTGAGTGGCCAAATCTTTTCTCATTGATTTGAAAGGACACTGTTTTCAGTTAAATATCTCAATACTTGATTTTTATTCTGCTAAATTGGTTTCACTTCAATGCTGCTTCAATTACCTTCTTTTAACTTTACATGTCAATGCATTTTGAAGCAAATTAATGCGTAATACCTTTTCCTCCATTAGAAGAAAGTTGACCTTGAGTTTTCCAGGGAAATTATTTCACTGTCTTTTAATTTTTATAAAGTAATTCCATTCTTTTTAACTTCTTGTTAAACAAATGTTTTCAATCTCTATTTTTCCAGTATACTAAGTATTTTATGTTTTCATGTTCATTATTGAATTGCAAAGACAAACTGGGAAAACAGTACTGCATCAACAAAACTTTTTAGAAGATCTTCATTTTATTCTTAAAAATTGCCTATATTATTCATTTCCCAGTTTCCCATTCCAGAAAAGAGATATTCTGGCTACTGATTTGTCTGTAGTTATTCTTTCTCTATCACCTCAAGGGGGGATTGTGAAAGTTAGTCTGCATCATCCACACAGGCATAACACCCTCTCCTCAGTAGAGCTCAGTACAATGGAATCTTACTGAGTTTCCTCTAAAAGGCACTTCTTTAGTTTATTGGGCATTTCCTCTTGGAGTGCATTGGTAAATTTCAACAAAATATTTAGTTATTCTCAAAATAATGAACAATAGTAGTCTGATCACAGTTATTTTGAAAGTCTTTTTAAGAAATTGTGGCATTTTTTCAAATGGTGTATTAGCCTAATTTAAGGCTTTATTTAGATTATATTTCTTAATCAGATCATTTCTCATTTACTTCCAGCTGGACACATTTGTTAGTATTATAGATCTACTTCCTAAACCCATGAAGGTAGTTTCATAAAACTGAAATATTTCGAAGGGGAACAGAATACGTTCCTTAGTAGGTAACCGTTTTTATGGGTACTAATGCATTATTTGAGCAATTAGAGACGGTTTGAGTCTGTTGTCCTCTATGGATGCAAACTTTGCAACTAACAATTCTTGTACTCAAAGGAGGCCAAACAAGTTAAAACACTGTACATCTTTCAAAAGAAATGAGTCTCAAAATGTATTGTGAACAATTATCATAACATAGCTGCCCAGCATCTGAAACACTCCTTTATATTGCTGAATTTCTACCATAAAAGGATTGATGTGGCTCATCTCAGACCACAGAAGAAAATACGATAATTTAGTAGATTTTATTAATGTTTTCAATTATCCACTGCCTTCACTATGAAAAGATTTGCATCTCTTTCTATTGTCAAGCTGTTTTAAGTGTCTCTCTGTTGAATGAGTTTAATTTCCTGCCCCATTAACATCATGCTTGGCTTTGTAACTTGATATCATCAATGAAATGTGAGCAGAAGTGACTGCATGCAAGGCCAGAGCCAAAGATTTCACAGATAACACATCATTCTATTCTTTCACCCTAGGCCTTGAATTGTGAACAGATAAGAAAGGAAACCTCAGTTAACACAAAATTGACATATAAAGTATGTAAGAATATATTATTTTTCAAAGTGAAGGAGCTATAGTTGCTGCAGCATAATCTGAAAGAAGCTATCTAATACACTTACTGTCCCACCTAAGGCATGGACATGTTTCATGACTTCAACCCATCAGATGCACTGATTCCATATTATGAGCTAGAAGCTAGTGATAAAGATACAAAGCAGAGAATACGTTCTGTTATCAGTGGCAGCTAGGTTAGTCATGTGCATTCTCCAGGAGAAAAAGTATCTGTTGATTGATGCTGGCAACGAAGCAATAGCGCAAGCTGTCCTGTAAATAAATAACTAGATGCAGGGTTTCTGCAGTTTCTGTGGTATGGTTTTGGCTGCAGTTCCAGTATCTTTTAGCTCTAGCATCCCAGACATTTCTGTGAAATAAAGATATGGCTCTGATGACTGGAAGAGCACCAGGGTCCTTGGTCTCGCACCGACAGGATTAATGACACAGACACACTTGGAGTGGTTTTAAGGGGCAAAAAGTTTAACAGGCAAGAAAGAAGAAAGAAGAAAATGGCTTCCCCCTGTACAGAGAGAGTGGGAGAGGGGCTTGAAACAGAGAGGATCCCTGTGCGTGGCAGAAAAGTGGTTGCTTCTGTTGGGATGCCGGAGGAGGACATGTCCGGTTTGCATAGGGCCCAGGGGATTGTTTTGACCAGGTGTGTTATTTAAGTAGCCCACAAAAAACCTGGCCCTCCCACCTTAGCCCTTTAATAAGCAAGTGCAGATCACCATGATGTTTTGAACACATGGTGTTATCTGGAGGTGGCCATTACACTTGGCACAAGTGGTGACAAGGAGAAGATGGTGGAATCGCCACATTGAGTGAACCTAGCTTCTATTGGCCTGTATTTGCATATCAAAGCTTGCCAGCCCAGCCCTTCAAGCCGCCTTTTCTGTTAGAAAAGAGATGGTTTTGGGGGTTGTTTTTATTAAAAGAAAAAAGCCTAAACAAGAACTCCTTTTACCCTCTCTATCTGACAAAAAATTATTTCTGAATAACTCCTGTATTACCAAACAACATTTGTGTTCAAATCACCAAGTCATTTCTGTTTCTTTCCAATGCCAATTGTTTAAGTAATTGTCCACAGAAGAGGTTGCAGGTAATTTTTCAGGGAAATGGAAGCAATTCATTATTGATTGTCTGTCCATGTTAAACCTGAAATTGTTTTAAATTCTTCTATTCTTAGTGGGTGGTACTTAGGCATCTTAGCTGAAATGAAAAACATAATAATTAAATCGAAATTTGTGATCACCTTAATAAACAAAAGTACACTGAAAGTGAAGAGATTGAATTACCACACTTATTGATCACTGTACTGTACATTAAAGTATTTAAAGACTATGGAGTAACGGAATTTTAGTAGTGTTCAATTGCTTGCAAAAACTGAAAGGTGCAGTTTCTAAGTATCTTCCTCAAGGCATTGACTGAAGCTGAGGGGCATTTTATGACTGTAGAAAAGAAACATTTATTCTTTGTTACAACTGGACTGGAACAGATGAAAAACTAAATGGAAAGTTTAAATATGTGAGTTTTCACATTACAGCTTTAATTCAATTTAATATCTGACCAGATATCTGGGCTTTTGTTGTTGTTATTGTTTTTTACTATTTTTTTGTTATCTCAATATTTGAACAAATTCCAAACATTTTAGAAGGAATGTCTCTTATAATCTTATAGCTAATAAATCTTAAATATTACATCTTAAATATTAAAATGTCACTTTTCAATTTTCCAGGGTTATTGCTGCTGATTTTTGCCAGTAAAATACATCCTCCCTAGAAATTAAATTAGAAGCTACTGAAACTTCAAAAATTTAATATTCTTGTTTCCACCCAGGTCAGATAACTGGCAGTGTGAAAGTTTATATCCAATGAATTCTGGTTCTGGTAATAGCACATTTGCCTGTAGTTTTAAAAATATCAATATGTTAGAAACAATATCACCAAAAAAGTAAATCAGAAGCACTAAATGCTCCAAAAGTAGGCAAAAACTGGAAAAAATTTGATCCTCAAACTAAGGAAACATCATTGGGTGAAATCTGTACAGGTTTTTGGCTCTCAAGAACAACCAGTAGGTGTGTTGTAGCATTGAAAGAAATCAGGTAGAAATCAACATTCTCAGGGACGACTTCACCGCTCCAGGTAGAAAACAATGGCTGCAAAAAGGTGAACAGACATCACAGCTACTGTTTGTCACCATGGAAACAAAAGTTTGGAGGTTGAATTATGCCAAGTTATAAAGGCTTGGTAAATACCCAGGATTTCTATTAAAACCCCAGAAGAAATGTCTTTTGAATAATAACTACATTCTAAGACTGTAGATTACCCTGATATTAAACAGAAATAGATGACAAAATTTGTAAATCCTAGCAGAAATAATTAAAGAAAAATAAAAAATACGTAAATCACTGTTATCGGGAATAAAAGAATATATTACTATGGATCCTTCAGAGATTAAACACATTCTAAAGGAATGTCATGTACAATAGTTTCCTAATTATTTAAACGACTTAGATAAAATACATGAATTTTTTTTAAAACACCACTTATCAAAACCGACTGAAGAAAAAATATAAAATTTTAATAACTCAGTATTTACCAAATTTAATATTCAAAACATTTACTCACAAAAAGTGTATGTATATGTGTATACATGACGTATATCATATACATACAGATATGCTATATCAACCATATATGTGCATGTTTCTACTATATATATATTACTGATCCATATTCCTTATAAATATAAATAGTTTTCACAACTGAATATATGGAATACACGAATATTTTAATTCATCATGATCAAGACAAGTTCACTGCAGGAATAGAAGTTTAAGTTGATCTTTGGAAAAGATCAAATGAATTTTCATATTAACATGATAAAGAGGTGATCCTAAAATGAGATATTTAAAATTTTTTTAAAGTGCAAAATTACAGGAACTCTCAGGAAACTGGGAATTAAAGGGAGTATCCTTAAATAAATAATGTTCAACAATATAAAAATCCTAAAAATAACCTTGTGTTCAATGGTGAAATATTGAAATATTTCCCCCACCAAAAAAACTAATAAAACAATAATATCTACTCCCCAATTCTCATTACTTCTTTCCATTATTGTCCAGGATATATTAACCATTAAGTTAATTAGAAGAAATAAAAGTATAAAGCATAGAGTATAATAAAATAAGAAAGAGAGATAAATTTAAAAAGATCAGAAAAGAAGCAAAACTGCTTATACTCAGAATATGTCTGTTTACATAAATAATACTAAAGAATATATAAAATAGCTACTAGTATGAAAAAAATATATATATACGTGGACCAAGCTTGCAGGGTACCAGATAACATAGAAAAAAGCCAATTGTGTTTTGATATGCAAGTAGCAAACCATTAGAAAAAAAATACAATAAAATGGTTCTGTTAAAATATTTTAATTACTATAAAATAAGAATGAGTGTAAGAGAAATATTTAAGTTCACAAAGATTGCTAATAGAAATTAAGAAAGACCTAAATTATTATAGAAATATGCTATGTATATAGATTGTAATACTCAATAATGTTAATAATAAAATTCTGAAAAATTTGAAATAAAATGGTCACTACAATATTGGTCAACATTACAAAAGTCTCTTTTGTAGGAATTTGTAAGTTTATTCTAGAAGTTTTATAGGAAAACAAAATATGTAGAGAAGCCAAAATAATTTTGAAAAACATGATTGGAAAATCAATATTACTTAATTTATAAGTCCATTATAAATATACACTAATTTAGATAGTTATGTATTGGTGTAGAAAAGATAATTGGCAAAACAGGAATTTCAGAAATAACCACATGCCTATATGGTCAATGAATTTTTTGCAAAGGCAACCAGGCCATTCAATGGTGACAGGAAACCCTCCTAATCAAACAGTTTTGAAACAAGTAGACATAGAAAAATATGAACCTCTCCTATTTCATGTCACAAAAACATAAAGAATAATCATAGACTAAAAGTGAAAATTAAAGCAATAAAGCTTCTAAAATCATGTAGCAAACAACATACTCACAGTCTTTGGGGTTTGAAAGTGAGAAGACAAAGTGTGGACATAAAAATCATTAAAGATGAAAGTGAAAACACACATTCATCAAAATTAATAACTTCTGGTGAAATAAATCAGGCACAGAAAGTCAATTGCAGGATCTCACTCATTTGTTGACTCTAAAAATATTGATCCCTTAGAAGTAGTGAGTCCAATGGTTGCTACCAGAGGAGAGTCCAATGGTTGCTACCAGAGGAGAGTCCAATGGTGGCTAGGTTTGGAAGGAGGGCTCGGGAGATGCTGATCAAAAGGTACAGAACTATGAGATGATAAGGCCACCCAACTTGTGCTATTTTGATATAGCAAATCTAGCAATATATGCTCAGTAACAAAGATTGGATTTGATCATTTTACTAAATGATTTCTTCTATATATTTTTCCAATTAACTATACTGGATTATCAAAGATGATTTTATTGTATAGAAAGAAAAATGATGTGCCTCCTTTATAGTTTTATAACTCATACATATGTTTCATTTTGTGTTGAGATGGTTATGACTGTTAAAAATTAGTGATGAGTATTAAAAGCATTTCCTTCATTTCTCTCTAATAAGAATGTTGCTATGTTGTTTTATTAATATAAAAAAAAGGTCTTTGTTTTCAATTTAAGGTTGGTATCCCTATAAGTATTTTTGTTGCAAGTTTGAACAGATAATGTACTTGTAAAAAAGAAAACTAGTTTTTATGTGAACAAGTCCAATACTTTATAAACACAAAGAAACTCAACAGGAATTGTATGGGTGATAGGCCAGAAAATGCAATAGTAAATCTTGTATAAGCATACCTGGGATACATTGTGAGCTTGATTTCAGACCACTGCAATAAAATGAATTTGTTGGTGTCCAAGTGCATATAAAAGTTGTGTTTACACAATAATGTAATCTATTGTGTGCAATAGCATTGTGTCTTAAAAAGCAATGATCAAAACTGAATTTAAAAACACGTTATTGCCAAGCAATTCTAACACTTACTGGAGCCTTCAGCAAATTGTGATCTTTTTGTTGGTAGATGGTCTGGCCACCATGTTGATGACTATTGACTTGCTGGTTGCAGAAGGTTGAAGCGGCTGTGGCAACTGCTTAAAATAAGACAACAATAAAGTTTGCTGCATCAGTTAATACTTTACTCACAGTAGAAATTCTTTCAAAATTGGTGTTAATTCTCTCAAAACATACTGCTGCTTTATCAACTAAGTTTTATATAATATTCTAAATCCTTTCTTCTCATGTCAATAATGTTCACAGCATCTTTGCCAGGAGTATATTGTATCATAAGAAACCACTTTTCTTTGCTCATCCGTAAAGGTATTTCTTCAACCATCAAAATTTTATTATGAGATTACAGTAATTCAGTCACATCTTGGGAATCCACTTCTAATTCTAGTTCTCTTTCTATTTCCACCCTGTACTTGTCAGGGTTATCACACACATATATAAAAATAATAATATATATTTTACATATATAATCTAATTATATATTATCTATATATAAACTAATATCTATATTAGTTAGATATATCTTATCTATTTAGATAGATATATAGATATCTCTATCTATCTATCTATACTAACTAGTATCCTATTAGTTCTGTCCCCTTTATATATATATATACACATATATATACATATTTATATATGGGAGTTTATTAATATTCACTTACACAATCACAAGGTCCCACAATAGGCGTCTGCAAGCTGAGGAGCAAAGAGAGCCAGACTGAGTCCCAAAACTTGAAGAACTTGGAGTCCGATGTTCGAGGGCAGGAAGCATCCAGCTCGGGAGAAAGATGTAGGCTGGGAGAATAGGCGTGTTTTTTCATGTTTTTCTGCCTGCTTTATATTTGCTGGAAGCTGACGAGATTGTGCCCACCAGATTAAGGGTGGATCTGCCTTCCCCAGTCCACTGACACAAATGTTAATCTCTTCTGGCAAGACACACACACAGAAACACCCAGGGTTATTGCTTTTTTATCCTTCAATGCAATCAAGTTGACACTCAGTATTAACCATCACACACCCCTTCTGCAGTGACTTCCTACACTCATCTTGAAGCCCTCAAACTCATCCACAAGGATTTGAATTAACTTTTCCATACTCTTATTAATGTTATATTTTGATCTCCTTCCATGAATTATGAATATTCTTAATGACACATACAATGGTGAGTTACTTACAGAATGTATTAGTCTATTATCACACTGCTAATAAAGACATACCCAAGACTGTGTAATTTATAAAGGAAAGAGGTTTAATTGACAGTTCTGCAGGACTGAGGAAGCCTCAGGTAACTTACAATCATGGTGGAAGGGGATGCAAAAACGTCCTTTACTGGGTGGCAGGATGGAGAAGTGCCAAGCAAAAGGGGGAAAAGCCCCTTATAAAACCATCAGATCTCAGGAGAACTCACTAACTATCACATTAATAAGATGAAGGTAACCACGCCCATGATTAAATTACCTCCCACCAGGTCCCTCCCATGACATGTGAGGATTATGGAAACTACAATTCAATAGAGATTTGGGTGGGGACACAGCCAAACCATATCACAGAAGGTTTTCAATTAACTTTACCCAGATCTATCAGAGGAATAGTTATCTATGGCAGATATAGCCTTACCAAATGTATGTATTAAACAAAAAGACTTCAATATCAAAAATACTCCTAGATCTATGAGCTTCAGGACAGATGTTTTGTTAGTAAGCATACAATATTTAAGTGCTTGTACATCTTCAAAGCTCTTGGGTGACCAGGTGCATTGTCAATGAGCAGTAATATTTTTTAAAGAAATCTTTATTTTTGAGCAGGAAGGGTCAATGGTGAGCTTAAAATATTCAGTGAACCATGCTATAAACAGATTTGCTATCACCAGGCTTTATTGTTTTATTTATAGACCATAAGCAGAGTAGATTTAACCTCTATTAAATTTACTAAAAACTTAGTAAATTTTTTAGGACCTCAGGATTTTCAGAATACTATATGAGCCTTGGCATCAATTTCAGTTCACCAGCTACATTATCCCCTAAGAAGCAAGTCAGCTTAATCTTTGGAGCTTTGAGCCAGCCATTGGCTTCTCCTCTCTAGCTATGAAAGTCCTAGATGACACCTTCTTCCAACAGAAAGTTGTTTAATCTACACTAAATATATCTTACTTAGTGTAGCCACCTTCATTAATTATCTTAGCTATATCTTCTGGATAACTTTCTATATAGTATTTGCTGCTATACTTTGCACTTTTATATTATGGAGATGGTGTCTTTCCATAGAACTCATGAATCAACCTTTGCTACCCTCACACTTTTTTTTCTGCAGCCTCTTCGCCTCTTGGAGCCATCATAGAACTGAAAAGAGTTAGAGCCTTGCTTGGAATTAGGCTTTGGTTTAAAGGAATGTTGTGACGGTTTTATTTTTTTATTCAGAACACTAAAGCTGTCTCCATATCAGCAATAATGCATTTTGTTTTCTTATCATTCATGTGTTCACTAGAGTGGCACTTTAAATTTTCTTCAAAAATTTTTCTTTGCATTCACGATTTGGCTAGCTGTTTAGATATGGTGAAGAGGCCTAACTTTTCGCCTATCTCAATTCTCAACATGCCTTCCTCACTAAGCTTAATCATTTCTAGTTTTTGATTTAAAGTAAGAGATATGCAACTCTTCATTTCAACACTTAGGGGCCATTGCATGGTTATTAATTGGCCTAATTTTATTATTGTTGTATCTCAGGGAGTATGGCGGCCCAAGGAGAGGGAGAGAGGTTGGGGAATGACCAGTCAGAAAACACACAATATTTATCAATTAAAATTGCCATCTTATATGGGTACAGGTTGTGATGCCCCAAAACAATTACAGGATTAATCAAATATCACTGATCACAGATCTCCATAACAGATATCATAATAATGAAAAAATTTGAAATATTTCAAGAATTACCAAAATGTGACCCAGAGACATGAAGATAGCATATGCTGTTGGAAAAATGGCACTGATAGACTTGCTCAACTCAGAGTTGCCACAACCCTTCAATTTGTAAAAAGCACAATATCTGTGAAGCATAATGAACTGAAGTGAAATATGCCTATAATATAATCATCTTCAATTAGACAGACAAATTCAGTTAAGGAAAAGTGGTAAAATATATTTTAGGCTGAATATTTATCAGCCTGTGTAAACTGTTGTTCCAATTGAATTTTGATTAAAAATCTAAAACATTTTTTCACATTTTAAAATTGATTTTTTAATTGGGATTTAATTGTTACATTTAGAATTAATTTTATGCCCTTGCCTCTTCAGGAAATAAATGAATATCCCATTGCTCTCCATAGGGAAAGCCCTTGCTGACTGGCTTCTCCTGCCCCGTCCACTCTCCCTGGCAGCATGGTGGGGCCACAGTGGAACTGCCAGCTTTCCCGTCAGGGACTCCAGGAGCCCTGAGAGTCCCTTCTGAAGGGTGTGTTAGACAGCGGCTTCAATCTTCCTGACTGTAACAGCAAGAAGCCCATGTTCCACTGCCTGTGGGCATATACATATGTGTAAAACCAAAAACCAATTTAACAAAATATGTACATACGTACATACGTACATATGTGTGTATTTGCGAATGTATGGATATATGCATTGTGTATGCATATATAATAATAGGAAAGGTATATCTGAATATTGCTTACTCTTTTTTTAACCTTTTTTCTTTTTCTTTTTTTTTTTTTGAGACAGAGTCTCCTTATATTTCCCAGGCTGGTCTTGAACTCCTGTTCTCATGAAATCCTCCCACCTTGGCCTCCCAAAGTGCTTGGATTACAGTCATGAGCCACTGCGCCCGACCAGTACTTACACTTACCTTACACTCTGCACACTGCACGCTGACATTGTGGATTCTAGTCTATGTGAGTGTGCCTGTATCCAGATGTAGATGGCATAAGCAGGTATACACATGTGCGTATTACTGACAAAATTTGACACAATACAGTACTTCCCCTAGATGTGCTATGCACTCTGACCTGTTCTATTCTAGTTTCATTTTTATCCATTGTTGGCTGTGGCCATTGGAATGGCTTTTGTAACTTATTCGTGGGTTGCAACTCCCTGCATACTGCAGCTTGAAAACAGGATCTTGCAGTCGTGTGGGCAGGAAGAAGTGAAGCCTGTGATGCAGCCAAGTATTTATTGGAGGCTCTTGCAGGGGTGGGGTGGAGGTGCCGCTTCTAGTGGCTTCTGCATTTGGGTGCCTCGGTTGTGTTTCTTCCCCTTTCCTCCTGGCCCTGACCTCTGCCTGCCTCCAATTCCTCCAGACTTTATTTATTTTTTCTTTTATTCAAACCCGTAGCCCCACATGGCACTTAGGAGCCATTTCTGTGGGTTTCTGTACCTTCTTCCCTTTAGCTGTAAGAGAGTAGACAGGTGGGAAGGCCCACTGATTTACTACTAGCTCGTGTCTCCACGTGGCCACTACAGATGGTGTGTCTTATTCCATCCTACAGCCATCCTATGAAATTGGTACTATCGTAACCTGGTTTTACAGTTGAGGAAACTGCCTCCTCTAAGAAATTACGTGCTCCAGGTTCCCCGGCTAATGGGGGAAAGAGCAGCCTTCAAATCCAGACCTGCCAGGCCCCAAGGCCTGCGTTTTTCATCTCTGGGCTGTCCAGACTCTCTTTTGCCTTTTCTAGAGACGAAGTTATTTGATTGTCTTTTGTTTTTTGTTTTTTGAGACAGGGTCTCACTTTCTTGTGTCATCAAGGCTGGTGTGCAGTAGTGCAGTCATGACTCACTGCAGGCTTGACCTCTTGGGCTCAAGGGATCCTCCCTCCTTAGCCTCCCAAGTTGCTGGAACCACAGGTTCACGCCATCATGCTCAGCCAAGCCTCTTTTTTTTTTTTTTTGTTTTAATTCTCCTGCCTCAGCCTCCCAAGTATCTGGAATTACAGGCATGTGCCACCACACCTAGCTAATTTTGTATTTTTAGTAGAGACGGGGTTTCTCCATGTTGGTCAGGCTGGTCTCGAACTCTCGACCTCAGGTGATCCGCCCGCCTTGGCCTCCCAAAGTGCTGGGATTACAGGCATGAGCCACTGCGCCTGGCCTCCAGCTAAGTCTTTAAGTTTTTGTAGAGATGGGATATTGCTACATCGTTCAGGTTGGTCTTTAACTCCTGGGCTCAAGTGATCTGCCCACTTCATCACCCCAAAGTACTACGATTATGGGCCTGAGTCACCATGCTGGCTGAGACCAAGGTTTAACCCAAGAATTCTGATCATTTTCTTTCCTAATATCCTCTTCTTAATGGGAAGCAGCTCCTTACAATTCTGTTGTCAACTTTGCCCAAGTTTGGGAATGTCAAGATGTCTTGGATGTGAAATTGATTTTGATTTGCTTTTTAGAAATACCAGGAGTGAGAAAGAGCTGCAGTCAGTGTTTCTTTGTTTGCTCACTATTTCCTCATTTTCTCACCTGTTATCTGTGTACCTGTGTTTGGCAGGGGTGCCTGTTGATATCTCACTGATTGGAGGGAGGTGTGTAATTATACTTGTGAGGTTGAGGTACTTCTGAGGAGCAAAGCACTGTGCAGCCATGAGGTAGGATGCCCTGTGTAGACAGTGAGCTCCTCAATACTAGAGGTATCCAAGCCAACTTGCCCAAGAAAACCTCTTGGAATGCATCATTTTAAATATGCAAGATTTAGCATAGTGCCTGCATACAGTAAGAGCTCAATAAATACTTGTTGGGTGAATGAGTTTTTGAGCCTGAGTAACCCTTTCTTCCCTGATAAATCTCAGAAAAGGTGAATGTTAGAAAGGACACTGAGAGATTGGTTAAGGTACTCATCAACTTTTCATTCTCAAAACCACCTGAAAGATGGTAACCTAACTCTTAAATACCAACAGAGAGCACAATCCTGCTGTTCATAGCAGGAGCACATACCAATATTTCGCATATTTCATAATCAGTTTTAAAGATAATGCCCCAACTGTCTTCTGCCACAGGCTAAGTACATTTCCCTTTCTCATCCTCATTGGTAATAGAAAGCTGGGTTGGAGGAGGTGCCTGTCCTGTAAAATACGGCACTTGGAAAAGGCTTCATCCTCTTGGGCTTGTCCTAGAGCTGGGGTTGGCAAGCCACAGTTTGAAGACCAAATTTGGCCTTTTGTCTGTTTTTGTTAATAAACTTTTATTGGAGGACAATAAACTTTTTATAGATGGTCTTTGGTTGCTTCATGCTACAAAGGCAGAGCTGAGTAGTTGCAACAGAGGCTACATGGCTTGCAAAGCCTAAAATATTTACTATCTGCTTATTATTATTTTATTATTATAATTATACTTTAAGTTCTGGGATATATGTGCAGAACTTGCAGGTTTGTTACATGGGTAAACATGTGCCATGGAGGTTTGCTGCACCCATGAACCCATTATCTAGATTTAAAGTCCTGCATACATGAGATGTTTCTCCCAATGCTATCTCTCCTTTTGTCCCCCAGCTCCTGACAGACCCCAGTGTGTGATGTTCCCCTCCCTGTGTCCATGTGTTCCCATTGTTCAACTCCCACTTATGAGTGAGAACATGCAGCATTTGGTTTTCTGTTTCTGAATTAGTTTGCTGAGAATGATGGTTTCCAGCTTCATCCATGTCCCTTCAAAGGACATGAGCTCATTGTTTTTATGGCCACATAGTATTCCATGGTGTATATGTGCCACATTTTCTTTATCCAATCTATCCTTGATGGGCATTTGGGTGGGTTCCAAGTCTTTGCTATTGTGAATAGTGCTGCAATAAACATACGTGTGCATGTGTCTTTATAACAGAATGATTTATAATACTTTGGGTATATACCCAGTAAGGGGATTCTTACGTCAAATGGTATTTCTGGTTCTACATCCTTGAGGAATCATCACACTGTCTTCCACAATGGTTGAACTAATTTACACTTCCACTAACAGTGTAAAAGCGTTCCTATTTCTCCACATCCTCTCCAGCATCTATTGTTTCCTGACTTTTTAATGATCACCATTCTAACTGGAGTGAGATGGTATCTCATTGTGGTTTTGACTTGCATTTCTCTAATGACCAGTGATGATGAGCTTTTTTTCATATGATTTTGGCCACATAAATGTCTTCTTTTAAGAGGTGTCTATTCATATCCTTTGCCCACTTTTTGATTTTTTTTCTTTCTTGTAAATTTGTTTAAGTTCCTTGTAGATTCTGGATATTAGCCCTTTGTCAGAGGAATAGATTGCAAAAAATTTTCTCCCATTCTGTAGGTTGCCTGTTCATTCTGATGATAGTTTCTTTTGCTGTGCAGAAGCTCTTTAGTTTAATAACATCCCATTTGTCAATTTTTGCTTTTGTTGCAATTGCTTTTGGTGTTTTAGTCATGAAGTCTTTGCCCACGCCTATGTCCTGAATGGTATTGCCTAGGTTTTCTTCTAGGGTTTTTATGGTTTTAGGTCTTTTAATCCATCTTGAGTTAATTATTTTATAAGGTGTAAGGAAGTGGTCCAGTTTCAGTTTTCTGCATAGGGCTAGCCAGTTTTCCCATCACCATATATTAAATAGGGAATCCTTTCTCCTTTGCTTTTTTTTGTCAGGTTTGTCAAAGATCAGATGGTTGTAGACGTGTGGTGTCTTTTCTGAGGCCTCTGTTGTGTTCCATTGGTCTATATATCTGTTTTGGTACCAGTACCATGCTGCTTTGGTTACTGTAGCCTTGTAGTATAGTTTGAAGTCAGCTGGCATGCTGCCTTCAGCTTTGTTCTTTTTGCTTAGGATTGTCTTGGCTATATGGGATCTGTTTTGGTTCCATATGAAATCTAAAATAGTTTTTTTTTCTAATTCTGTGAAGAATGTCAATGGTAGCTTGATGGGGATAGCAATGAAATCTATAAATTACTTTGGGCACATTCACAATATTGATTCTTTCTATCCGTGAGCTTGGAATGTTTTTCCATTTGTTTGTATCCTCTCTTATTTCCTTGAGCAATGGTTTGTAGTTCTCCTTGAAGAGGTCCTTCACATCCCTTGTAAGTTGTACTCCTAGGTATTTTATTTTCTTTGTAGCAATTGTGAATGGGAGTTCACTCATGATTTGGCTGTTTGTCTATTATTGGTGTATAGGAATGCTTGTGATTTTTGCACATTGATTTTGTATCCATTCTAAAATTGACCACATAATTGGAAGTAAAACACTCCTCATCAAATGCAAAAGAATGAAAATCATAACAAACCATCTGTCAGACCACAGGGCAATCCAATTAGAACTCAGGATTAAGAAACTCACTCAAAACTGCACAACAACATGAAAACTGAACAAACTCCTCCTGAATTACTATTGGGTAAATAATGAAATTAAGGCAGAAATAAATAAGTTCTTTGACACCAATTAGAACAAAGACACAACGTACCAGAATCTCTGAGTCATAGCTAAAGCAGTGTTTAGAAGGAAATGTATTGCACTAAGTGTCCACATCAGAAAGCAGGAAAGCTCTAAAATTGACACCCTAACATCAAAATTAAAAGAACTAGAGAAACAAGATCAAACAAATTCAAAACCTAGCAGAAGACAAGAAATAACTAAGTTTAGAGCAGAACTGAAGTAGATAGAGACAAAAAAGACCCTTCAAATCAATGAATCCAGGAGCTGGTTTTTTGAAAACATTAACAAAATAGATAGACTGCTAGCCAGACTAAGAAGAAAAGAGAGAAGAATCAAATAGACACAATAAAAAATGATAAAGGGGATATAACCACTGATCCCACAGAAATACAAACTACCATCAGAGAATACTATAAACACCTATAGGCAAATAAACTAGAAAATCTAGAAGAAATGGATAAATTCCTGGACATATACACCCTCCCAAGACTAAATGGGGAAGAAGTCTAGTCTCTGAATAGACTAATAACAAGTTCTGAAATTGAGGCAATAATTAATGGCCTACCAACCAAAAAAAGCCCAGGACCACATTGATTTGCAGCCGAATTCTACCAGAAGTAAAAAGAGGAGCTGGTGCCATTCCTTCTGAAACTATGCCAAACAATAGAAATAAAGGGACTCCTCCCTAACTCATTTTATGAGGCCAGCAGCAACCTGATACCACAACCTGGCAGAGATCCAACAAAAAAGAAAATTTCAAGTCAATGTCCCTGATGGACATTGATGCAAAAATCCTCAATAAAATACTAGCAAACCGCATCCAGCAGCACATCAAAAAGCTTATCCACCACCATCAAGTTGGCTTCATCCATGGAATGCAAGGCTGGTTCAACATGTGCAAATCAATAAACGTAATCCATCACAGAAACAGAACCAATGACAAAAACCACATAATTATCTCAGTAGATGCAGAAAAGGCCTTCCATAAACTTCAACACCCCTTCATGTGAAAAACAATAAACTAGGTATTAATGGAGCATATCTTAAAATAATAAGAGCTATTTATGACAAACCCATAGCCAATATCATATTGAATGGGCAAAACTGAATCCATTCCCATTGAAAACCGGCACAAGACAAGGTTGCCCTCTCTCACTACTCCTATTCAGCATAGCACTGGAAGTTCTGGCCAGGACAATTAGGCAAAAGAAAGAAATAAAGGCATTCAAACAGGAACAAAAGAAGTCAGATTGTCTCTGCTTGCAGATAACATGATTGTATATTTACAAAACCCCATAGTCTCAGTCCAAAAACTCCTTAAGCTGATAAAACTTTTCATAAGAAATTTCTTTACTTCATCTTGAAGGGAGGAAAATAGTATATTTTTATTTCCAAAATATAGTAAATTAGAGACTTTTAGCATGCCTCAGCCATTTGGAAATAGCAAGAGAGTAAATAAAGACCAACTCTGAGTTTAATGCAAGAAAGGAAATGATAATTCAACAGAATTATGAAGGGCACCCCAGATCTCAGAGAGGAGAATGTTAGCAAACAGGCCTCTTGATGGCATCCAACTGATAAAACTGATTGAAGGCTTAATATCAATACACGAGAAAGGCAGAAAACCTCCCTCTGTGATTCACCTTTTCACTGGGGTTCTGAGAAACCCAGTCTGAGGGAGGCACTTTGTTTCATCCAAGTCCTAGAGTTAACTGGAGGAAAGACTTAGAGATGCTTTGAAGGAAAGACACCAGGAAAATCTGAAGACATTTTTCCAGACACTGGACTGAGAGCAGGTCATTTTTAATCTGGTTGCATACAAAGTCAGCCATCCCTCGATGACTCAGTAGCATAGCTGCACAAGCATTTTAGTCTCAGGCCAGAGATTGGAGCACCTGCTCTGGAATGAGGTAGAGTTCTCCACAGCCAGAACTGTGGAAAGTACTGCAGCAGTAGGCACTGGAATTGGGCTCTCCCCCATCACACTTCTGGGACAGGAGGAGAGCTGCTACAGTTGTAGTTTCTCCTGGGTGGTGAGACTTGCAGCCAGGGTCGGCTTGAAAACCTGGAACTGATTTATGTGTGCCATTGCTAGTTGCCCCATTCTGCTCCCCTGAGATGGCAGCACAGCAGAGCCCTCCCTACTCTACCTCCAGGCAGAAATCCAGGCATTTAGAACATATGCTTGCCTGGATTAGCAGCCTGAGCTGTCCCACCCTTCCTGGATATAGATCTTGGTACAGCAGGGATCTCTTTGCTCCATGCCCAGGCAGATCTCCAGGCATTTGGAACACCCATTCAGCTGGTTCAACAGCCCAAACAACCTCACCCTACCTTGACATAGATCGTGATGTGGCAAGGCCCTCTCTGCTCTACACCCAGAAAGACCTCCAGTCATTCAGAGCACCAATTCACCTGCTTCGGCAGCCTGAGCCGAGCCACCACACCCTTCCTGGACATAGATCATGGCACAGTGTGCCTCTTTGCTTCTTGCCCAGGGAGATCTCCAGTCATTCAGAGCACTCAATTGCCTGGTTTGGCCACCTGAGACACTCCACTTTTCCTAGATATAGATTGTGGTGCCGTGAGGCTCTCTGTACTCCATACCCAGGCACTTCTCCAGGCCTTTGGAGCACCCATTCACCTGGTTCAGAGCACTCAATTGCCTGGTTTGGCAGCCTGAACCTCCCCACCCTTCTTGGTTATAGATAATGTTGCAGCAGAGCTCTCTCCACTCCATTCCCTGGAAGATCCCCAGCCATTTGGAGTATCCACTCACCTGGATCAGCAGTCTGACATGCCTCACCTTTCCTGGACATAGACTGTGGTTCAGCGAGACCCCCTCTGCTCCATGCCCAGGCATATCTCCAGGCATTCACGTAACCTGCTTGCTTGGTCCATCAGCCTGAGTTGCCTTTACCCTACTGCACAGAGATCTTGGTGAAGGGTGGCCCTCTCTGCTCCACACCCAGGCAGCAGATCTCCAGGAATCAGGAGCATCCAGACTAATGGATTAGGAGCTTAGGTCCCCTTTATCCCCATGAGGAGAACTTGGAGCTAAGGATTTCTCCCAGATTTACACCTAGGAACATCTCTGGGTGCCTAGTGGCCATGCACTGGATTCTCTGTTGGCATTGGTGCTTGTGCCTGCCTTCAGGGAACATGCAGGTGGACATACCCAGACCATCCCAGTCCATCCCAATACACATCCCACAGTATGTGTACATATATATACACATACTGCCAAAAGAAGTGTATAGGGCTTTAGAAGGAAAGCCAAAAGACCCTACCATGCATTCTCTGCTGTAACATTCTTGAAAGATGAAAAAAAAAGGGAAAGGGAAAGAAAAATTATTTTAAGAGATAACATTATAGGTAATGAAACAAAAAGAACAAAAATTCTACCCTCATAAAAATAATATCAAAATTTAGAAGTACTAACATCTCCAGATGGGAAAAACCCAGTGCAAGAATTTTGGCACCATGAAAAATCTGACTGTAGTGACACCACCAAAAGGATTGTATTTTCTTATCATCTCTAACTAAAATGGAAACTCAGAAAGATCAGATAATTAAAAGCATGGATTGCAAAGAACCTCAATGAAATCCAAGATAAAGTTGAAAAGCTACATGAAGAAACTTCTAAAGCAACCTAGGAAATGAAAAAAGAGATAAATATCTTAAAAAAATTAATCAGAGCTTCTGAAATTGCAAAACACACTTAAGGAATTTCAAAGTACAATTAAAAACATTATAAATAGGCTGTAACAAGCAGAAGAAAAAGTTTCAGAACTTGAAGACTGATCTTTTGAACTAACTCAGTCTGACAAAATAAAGAGAAAATATATTTTTTTAAATGAGCAAAGTGTTCAAGAAAGATGGATTATGTTAAGCAACTAATCCTATGAATTATTGGCATTCCTGAGAAAGCAAGAGAAAGAAAAAAACCTGGAAAGTATATTTAAGAAAATAATTCAAGTAAACTTTCCTATTCTCACTAGAGAGGTAGAAATCCAGATATAAGAATACAGAGAACAACTGAAAAATAACATATAAGCTGAACATCACCAGGGCATATAGTCACCAGACTGTCCAAGGTCAACACTAAAGGAAAAATCTTAAAGGCAGATAGCAAAAAAGGGCAGATTGCATACAAAAGGAGTTCCATTAGGCTAACAATGGTCTTCTCAGCAGGAACCTGACAAATCAGAAGAGATTAGGGGCCTATTTTAATCATTCTTAAAAAAAAAAAAAAAAAGAAAGGAAGAAATTCCAACCAAGAATTTTATATCACTCCAAACTAAGCTTTATAAGTGAAGGAAAAATAAAACCTTTTCCAGATGAGCAAGTGCTAAGGGAATTTGTTACCAGCCTTACACAGAATACTTAAGGGAGTTCTAAATATGGAAACAAAAGAATGATACCTGCTACTACAAAAACACAGTTAAGTACATAGCCCACAGACCCTGTGAAGCAAAATCCCAATAGAAACTGCAAAGCATCCAGATAACAACTTCACATTAGGATCAAAACCTCACATGTCAACATTAACCTTGAATGTAAATGTTCTAAGCACCACTATTACAAAGCCCTGATGGCAAGTTAGATAAAAAGAAAACAAGATTCATCTGTTTGCTGTCTTTAGGAGACTCTTCTCATACATAATGACACCGTAAGTTCACAGCAAAGGGTCGGATAATGATCTACTACACAAATAGAAATCAAAAAAGAGCAAGAGTCACTATTCTTATATCATATAACAGAAACTAAACCACCAACAGTAAAAACTAACAAAAGAGGGCATTTTATAATGATAAAGTGTTAAATTTAACAAGAAGACATAACTTTTTGAAATATATATGCACCCAACATTAGAGTATCTAGATTCATAAAACAAGTACTTCTAGAGCTATGAAAAGACTTAGACAGTCCTATAATAGTGGTAGACTTCAACACCACACTGACAGCATTAGATACAGATCATCAATGCAGAAAATTAATAAAGAATTTTTGGACTTAAATTTAACACTTGACTAATTAGACCTAATAGACATCAACAGACTATTTGACCCATTAACTACAGAATACACGTTTTTCTCATCAGTACATGAAACATACACCAAGATTGACCACATTCTTGGCCATAAAGCAAGTCTCAATACATTCCAATATACGTAAATTATACCAACCATACTCATAGACCAGTGTGAAATAAAAATAGAAAAAAATGGGAGGAAGATCTCTCAAAATCACACAATTACATGGAAATTAAACAACTTACTCCTCAAAGAGTTTTGGGCAAACAATAAAATCAAGGCAGAAATAAAATAAATTCTTTACAATAAATAAAATCAGAGACACTACAACCCAAAATCTCTGAGATGCACCAAAAGCAGTGTTAAGAGAAAGTTTATTTCACTAAATGCCTACCTCAAAATTAAAGATTTCAAATTAGTAATCTAAATCACACCTAGAAGAACTAGAAAACCAAGTACAGGTAACCCCAAAGCTGGCAGAAGGGAAGAAATAAACTAAAATAAGAGTGGAACTGAATGAAATCAAGTCCCAAAAATACATAAAAGAATCAACAAAACCAAAAGTTGGTTATTTGAAAGAATAATAAGAAAAGATAAACTACTAACTAGATTAACAAAAAATAAAAGAAAGATAATGCAAAGAAGCACAATCAGAAATGACAAAGGTGACTTTACAATGGATCCTCCAGAAATACAAAGATTATCAAAGACTATTGTAAACACCTCCATGCACATTAAAAAAAAAAAAAAACCTAGAGGAAATAGATATATTCTTGGAAAAAATATCTCAAGATTGAATAAGAAAAAAATTAAAATACTGAATAGACAAATATCGAGTTCCAAAATCAAATCACTGAAAAATCCTTGCCAGTGACAAAAAGCCCTGGACCAGATGTATTCACAGCCTAGTACTACAAGATGTACAAAGAAGAGCTGGCATCAACTCTACCAAAACTATTTTAAAAAATCAAGAAGGAACTCTACCCTAATTCATTCTACAAAGCCAGAATCACCCTGATACCAAAACCAGGTAAAGACAAAATAAAAAAAGAAAAGAAAACTCAGGCCAACAAAAATCCTCAACAAAATACTAGCAAACAGAATTTAACAGAACATTCAAAAGTTAATTTACCGTAATAAAGCAGACTTCATTCCTAGGATGTAAGATTGTTTCAACATATGTAAATCAATAACCATAATTCACCACTAAAACAGAATTTAAAACAAAAGCAATGTGATCATCCCAATAGATATGGAAAAAAGCTTTAGATAAAATCCAACATCCCTTCAACATGGAAATCCCTCAAAAATTAGGCATCTGATGTGGTTTGGCTGTGTCCCAACCTAAATCTTATCTTGCATTATAAGTCCCACAATTCCCATGTGTTGTGGGAGTTCCCTTGTATAAGTGATTTAATCATGGGGGTGGGTCTTTCCCCTGTTGTTCTCATGATAGTGAGTGGCTCTCACAAGATCTGATGGTTTTAAAAATGGGAGTTTCCTGCACAAGCCCTCTTCTCTTGTCTGCTGCTATGTGAGATGTGCCTTTCACTTCTACCATGATTGTGAGGCTTCTCCAGCCATGTGGAACTGTAAGCCCATTAAACCTCTTTCTTTGGTAAATTGCCCAGTCTTGGTTGTGTCTTTACTAGCATCATGAAAATGGACTAATACAGCATCATAGAAACATAACTCAAAGAAATAAGAGCCATATATGAAAAACTCATAGCCAAGATCACACTGAAGAAGCAAAAATTGGAAGCATTCCCCTTGAGAACTGGAAAAAGACAAGGATACCTACTCCCACACTCCTATTCAACATAAACCTGAAAGTCCTAGCCAAAGCAATCAGGCAAGAGAAAGAAATAAGGAGAAAAGGGATCCAAATATAAAAAGAGAAAGTCAAACTATCTTCACTAATGATAGGATTCTATACCTAGAAACCCTAAAGATTGCCAAAAGATTCCTGGAACTGATAAATGACTTTAGCTAAGTTTCTGGATACAAAATATATGTACAAAATTCAGTAGCACTTCTATACACAAACAATATTCAAGCTGAGAGACAAATCAATAATTCAATCCCATTTACAATTGCCACACACACACACAATCACACAAATACCTAAGAATACATCTAACCCAGGAGGTGAAGGATATCTACAAGGAAAACTAAAAAGTATTGCTAAAGGAAGCAGAGAGATGATACAAAAAAATGAAAAAAAAGATTTCATGCTCATGGATTGGAAGAATCAATATTGTTAAAATGACCATATTACCCAAAGCCCAAAGCAATTTACAGATTCAATACTATTCCTATCAAACTATCAATGCCATTATTCACAGAATTAGTACTAAAACTTCTAAAATGTATATGGAACCATAAAGAGCCTGAATAGCCAAAGCAATCCTTAGCAGAGAGAACAAAGCTGGAGGCATCAAATTACTCAACTTCAGACTATATTTTAAGGCTACAATAGCAAAAACAGCATGGTACTTGTTGGTACAAAACAGACACCTAGACCAATGCAACAGAATAGAAAACCCAGAAATAGAGTCACATATCTACTACAGTCATCTAATCTTCAACATAGTTGACAAAAATGAGCAACAAGGAAAGGAGTGCCTATTAATAAATGGTTCTGAAATAGCTGACTAGCTATGTGCAGAAGAATGACACTGGACCCCTACATTTCACCATATACAAAAATTAACTCAAGGTGAATTAAGATTTAAATGTAAGACTTCAAACTATAGGAAACCTAGAAGAAAACCTTGGAAACACCATTCTGGACATGGACCTTGGGAAGTAATTAATGATTAAGTCCTCAAAAGCAATTGCAACAAAAACAAAAATTGACAAGTGGTACCTAATTAAACTAAAGATCTTCTGCATACCAAAAGAAACTATCAACAGAGTAAACAGATTACCTAGAGAAACATAAAAAACATTCAATAACTATGCCTTGGACAATTGTCTAATATTCAGAATCTATAAGGAACTTCATTAATTAAACAAGCAAAAAACAACTTCACTAAGAAATGAACAAAAAGCATAACAGAAATTTCTCAAAAGAAGGCAAAGAAATGTCCAACAAAGGTGTAAAAATGCTCGGCATCACTAATCATCCAAGAAATGCAAATCAAAACCAAATAAGACATCATCTCATACTAGTCAGAATGGCTATTATTAAAAAATTAAAAAAAAACCCACAGATGTTGGGTAGGCTGTGGAGAAAAGGGAACACATGTACACTGTTGGTGGGAATGTAAATTAGTTCATCAACTGTGGATGACAATGTAGAAAATGTCAGAAAACTTAAAACACAACCACTTTTTGACCCAGAAATTCCATTACTAGGTATATATTCAAGAGAAAACATATGGTGCTATCAAAAAGACACATGTTCACTGCAGCACTATTTACAATAACAAAGACATAATCAACTTATATGCCCATCAACAGTGGTTTGGATAAAGAAAATGTGATACATACATATTATGGAATGCTACAAAGGCGTCAAAAAGAATGAAATCTTGTCCTTTGCAGCAATATGAATACAGCTGCATGCCATTAACCTAAGAAAATTAATACAGGAACAGAAAACCAAATACCACACGTTCTCACTTATAATTGGGAGCTAAACATTGAGTACTCATGGGCATGAAGATGGTAAGGGTAACAATAGACCCTGGGACTACTTGGGGGGAATGGGGCCAGGGTTGAAAAACTAACTAGTGGGTACTGTGCTCAATACTTGGGTGATGGGATCATTCATACCCCAAATTTCAGCATCGTGCAATATACCCAGGTAACAAACTTGCACATGTACCCTTGAATCTAAAATAAAAGTAGAAAAGAAAAAAACTGAAAAAAAAATAGTCCTTCTTTATCTTGAAAAGCTATCGTTCACTCTCTAAAGCCTAAGAAGTTACATAATATATTCTACAAATTAGCTGGTGTCCTTATAAAAGTAATGCAATTTTGGACTGATGACACTGTGTTGTACTTTTTGTGAAATACAAGGCACAAGACCTTATGTATCATTTAGACATTTTCAGTCTAATCAATCGCTAAGGTTACATTTAATTCTTGGCAGTGAATTATAATTTGTTTATATTTCAGCATTTAAGTCATTGTAAAGAATAAGAAAAATGGTATTGTAGTAAGAGTGTTTATGCTAATAACTGGAGTGTTGAACACATCTCTTCTGCGAACTGCATCATCTCTATTGCACTTGGGCACTTAGAGCAGTTCATTGATTTAGTGCTTCCTTATTCATGCTTTCTTCCTCTGAAGCCTCTAACATTTCTTCATATTCACCTTTCTCATTATCAGGTAAGTCTTTTGAAATTTATTATCTAGCTAATTTAATATTATTTTCTTTACTGTTGTGATGCTTCTTTTTCATATCAAACTGTTGCTTTTGTTCTTGTTCTGTTGCGGGAAATCAAGAGGCTGGAGAGACAGAATGGGGTGCAGGAGAGTTTATTTTAAGGTATACACCGGCTCGGTGGACATGCATCCTAAAAGTCTGAGCACAAGACAAAGAAAGCAGTTGCCTTTTAAGCAGTTGATGGCGGATATTATGTGATGCAGGAAGCAAGTTTATAGAAGTGAGAACAAAAGCAGTTAATTATTATGTGACATTTTTGAGATTTAGTTTACATTTTGGGAAAAACATGTCTTTTAAATTATACTTATTTATTTTATGACTTTGCAGTCTTATAGCAAGAAGAAAAAGAAATTTACAGATTTTATAAAATATGTGGGAAAGAGATAAGGTTAATGTTTTACGGTTTTTACAGAAAGGTAGTTAGTATTTCTTCTTAACTTTTACTTTAAGTGGGTTACTAATGCCTATTACAGTTAAACCTTTTATTATTACTATTTTTTATTTTAAAAGGATAATCAATTTTTTAATTTTTCTACTTCAGTTCCTCAAGTACAACATGACTATCCTCCTCTGTGATTCTTTCTTGTTGTTGAACTCTTCTATACTTGGCCTCCAGCCTTCACCAGCACCTAATTTGTAAGCTAATATATTTCATGTCATGGCTTCAGTGGCTTCTGAGCCACTCAAGGCATTTTCCTCATTACCTATCACACTGTACTCACCACTTTTCACTAAACAATAGCCATTGTGGGCTCTATGTTGCCACAGTACTCATTTCACTCCACTTCTGGGTTTTATTCTCAGATCTTCACTGACATGCATGAAGGGCAGGCTGATGCCACCACAATGTCCTAGGTTCCTCCTTGCTCTTCAGGATAGATGTGATGAGCAGCTGCATGGCTCCAGGCCACTTCTGCTGTGTCTCAGTGATACTGCTTGGCTCAGGACCTGAGAAGGGAAGGGCAGGGCCAGGAGAGATACCCAGGACAGCCATGGAGTCCTCTCAGGGCCACAGCCACTGCACCTGCTGTCATAGATATGGCTACTTGCTTTGTTGTCACTAGAAAATGACCTAGGTGCCACAGCTGAGGCTGTCTCCATGGGCATATTTTATGATTCATATGTGTTTAAAGTTATTAAATGCTTTTCAACATATAAAGATTTGTGCTCAGTACCTGGGTTATGGGATCATTCATATACCAAACTTCAGCATCATGCAACATACCCAGGTAACAGACTGAAAAAGGTAGTCCTCCTCTCTCATTAAAAGATATTGCTCAGTCTCTAAAGCATTAAAAAAATCATATTATCACTGATTTATATGCATTTTAAACTGGTACAAAAGGACATCTTAACATAAAGAAAGAGCAACTTAATAACTAAATAAGTAGAAAAAACTTATGCTCGTGTGTAAGAAGGCTCATATTTTTTCAAAGGCAAATTCTCTCCACATTGACATGTAGATTAAATGTCATCCTAATCTATACATTAGCAATAAATTTGGTAGAAATTGACAAGCTAAATCTAAAATATATTTGGAAATTCAAAGAACTAAAAACTTTTGATAAATATTAACAAATTAAAATTACTCAGCCTGATTTTAATTCTTTTTTTCTTTTTCTTTTTTGAGATGGAGTCTCGCTCTGTCACCCAGGCTGGAGTGCAGTGGCACGATGTCGGCTCACTGAAAGCTCCACCTCCCGGGGTCACGCCATTTTCCTGCCTCAGCCTCCCAAGTAGCTGGGACTACAGGCGCCTGCCACCACGCCCAGCTAATTTTTTCTATTTTTTAGTAGAGACGGGGTTTCACTGTGTTAGCTAGGATGGTCTCAATCTCCTGACCTCGTGATCCGCCCACCTCAGCCTCCCAAAGTGCTGGGATTACAGGCATGAGCCACCGTGCCCATAAAGGAGATTGTATGGTTTTATTGTAAATATATTTATATGTTATATATTATGTTATATGTTATATTATATAATTATATTGTGTAATATATAATATAAGATATAAGTATATAATTGCATTATGTAATTATATTGTATATACAGTATATATTATACACATAATGTATCTATTTTTATACTATATAATGATAATTATATAACTTCATTACATAATTATATTGTATATAGAATATATACTATATACATAGTGTAAAAATTTTGTACATTATATATACACTACATATATAATATACACTATATATACAATATTATATAATATACACTATATATACAATGATATATAATGATGAAGTAATAGAGAATTCAGAAATAGATCCCACAATATATTTTATGACAAAAGCACCACAATAACTTTATGGAAAACAATGCCAGAGTAAATGAATTGAAGAAAAGCAAGTATTTCTAAAAATAGGGCTTTACGAATTGAATATTCACCTTAAAACAATATATCTTGATTTATACATATCATACACAAAAATTACCTAAAAATAGATTATAGAAGCATACACAAAATCTAGAGCTATAAACTTAAAGAAATAAACAAACAAAAAAACAAAGAAAAGCCTTTGCAAATTTGGGTAGGTAAAAATAAAATATAGAGAAAATTACGGCTAAGTCAGTCTTTTGCAAAATTAAAAACTACCACTTGTCTACATATATATGTGTGTGTTGTGTGTGTGTGTGTATTCTAGCCAAAGGCTAGGAAAATATATTTTTAACATACTATTTACAAAGTATTTTATACATGTAAAAACTTATGCAACCCATGTAGAAATTGATAAAATATTTTATTAGATCTTTCATTAATATGTATGTATGGGTGTGCAGGTATGTGTATATATGTGTGACTATTAAGTACATAAAAGATGAGCTACATTATTAGTCAGCAGAAATATGCAAGTTAAAATCACAATGGGATACTATTTCATATGCACTAGAATAGCTAAAAATAAAAGAAATTATAATACCAAATGTTGCAAAGGATATGGAGCAATTGAAACTCTCATATGTTTCCAGAAATATTACAAGAGCTTACAACCACTGTATCAATTATTTATAGAGCAACTGCAATTATTTATAGCATTTATGAAATTAAACATCCATCTCTGCTGTGACTCAGGAATTTTACTCCTAGAAATTTACCCAAAGGGTATAAAAACAAATGTCCACAAAATATCTTACACAGAAGTGTTTATAAGCAGTTTATTTTATTTTGTTTGTTTATTTATGTGTTTTACTGCCTGAAACAGGAAACACATATCAGCAGGAACAGATAAATGGAGGTATATCCATACTATGGGATGAGATCTCATAATTCAAAAGAAAATCTACTAATACCAGAAAAAAAATATAAATGGATTTCAAACCCTGGATTCTGACTCAGAAAAACCTGACACAAAAGAGTAATTGTTATTTATTTTATTTGGGGCTGTAGAAATGACAAACTTAATATATTGTGAAAAACAACAGATCTGGGAGTTGAATGGATTCCTGGAAAAAGCCATTTGAATTAGAAGTAGTAGTGAGCAAAAGCTATTTATCTACACTTACTTTTTTTTTAGTCTTGCTCTTAACCATTAAATTTTAAAAGACTAGGCTATTTTCCCCAGGACAGGCTGTTAGAACCTGACTTGGACTCCACCTTCCTGCGACTGCTCTTCAAATACCAACAGCTATGTCTTCCACAATACCCCAGTGACCATGGAAGACAATTTCTATTTTACTACCAGAAGTGCCTGAAATTGACAGCATATTAGTGAAACCATATAGAAACTATACTGAATTCAAGACTGAAAGTTCTGTCTCTGCTTTTCATTCCATGTCATTTGCCATCTATTGCCAAATTAAAAAATCAAAAGTTCTGAATACCAGGAAGGACACCATTAAGATTAAATGCATGAAGGCAGTCATGAGAAAGACAGAACCAATCCCCAACTCCACAATAGCTCTCCTAGGCAAAAGTGTTGTTGCCAAAGACAGCAGAAAGAACCCAGTGGGTTAGAGTTAAGGGAGCATCATAGTAGATCAATAGTCCATTATTCATGACCTGTGAAATTAAGCCCAAATAGAAAAGGAAATAAAACCTCTGACAAGATATCTCTAACCATTTTTTTATTTTTCTTTTTTTTTTTTTTGAGACGGAGTCTCGCTCTGTCACCCAGGCTGGAGTGCAGTGGCCGCATCCCGGCTCACTGCAAGCTCCGCCTCCCGGGTTTACGCCATTCTCCTGCCTCAGCCTCCCCAGTAGCTGGGAATACAGGCGCCCGCCATCTCGCCCAGCTAATTTTTTGTGTTTTTAGTGGAGACGGGGGTTTCACCGTGTTAGCTGGGATGGTCTCGATCTCCTGACCTCGTGATCTGCCCGCTTCGGCCTCCCAAAGCGCTGGGATTACAGGCGTGAGCCACTGCGCCCGGCCCTCTGACCTTTTTTTTTCACTATGCATTTACTACCTGTATGGGAAAAAAAATCTGTCTAAACAAATTATGTTCTTTCCCAAAGAGTTGTGTTTAGAGACATGCTGACATCAAGGAAAATTTAAAAATTAGTATCACCAGTTCCTTGTTGAGGGGATTTTCTGTCGTTTCGTATCAGAACCTCATCATATCCATTTCCTCTTATGTTATTTGTTTCTGGGACTCGATCTGCCTCATCTGGTGGCCCCATCTGGTGATGTTTCTCCATCATCTCTTGAGATAACACATTTGAGTCCTGCGTCCACAATGATGTTTTCTCTGCCTTTTTGCTACAGAATTGCTGTATCTGTGAAACCAAGGACGGTGTCTTCCTTATCCTCACATTTATTTCTACTGTAAGATTGTCCTTAATAGATTATTGAGCTGAAGTTTAGTCAAATGTTTCTGAAGTTTGAGTCCCAGGAATTCCAATTGGTTGCTGGAATTGAATAACTTCTTTCTTTTACTTTTCTTTTCTATCTGATTCAGACATTTGTGTTTCTAACATTCTCTTCCAGGTTTGATATGTTGGTGCCTCTCATTATAAGTAATATGAAATCAATTCCTTATATTTCTCCTAGAATCATCTATTATTCAAATCAATTCTATCTACCTTTTTCTCACTCAGTTGGTAATACCACCAATGAAATACTTTTTTCCATTTGTCCAACCAGGCATACACTTAATAGATAATTATCTTGCCTGAGATCCCATTCATAATTTTCATCTGTATCTGCTTAAGAGGCTTAATTCTATAATTTTTCCAGCATCTCACAGAGCCCAAACAAGGTATATGTATCTACATCTTCAGTAACTCTAACACCTTGACCACACTTAATATTACTTTAATTATTGTATACTATCTTCCATCTTAAAATTGCATATGTATACATATATTCTATAACCACAGGGTACAGCTTTTCGCTGTCTTTAAGGGTGTTTTCCATATAATAATGAAATCATCTGCCCTTTATCTGATGTTCTCTTTAACAGCAGTTTGCATGGCCCATTTTCCTCCTTTCATTTTCTTGGCCTGTCATGTACGTATTAAAAATAAAACTCAGTTTTGCTCTGCAACAGAAGAAATTCAGGTGTTTCAAAATTTAACGGAATCAAATATCATTGTGCCCCCTGATGCTTACAGGGCATGTAAACACTTTTCTTCTTTGTACACTAATGCTTTGCCTTAGCCAAGCATGTGTAGGAAAATCTGTGCCTGAAAAATAAGCTGTGGTATGTGGGCTTCCTGAAATCCTGCCTTTATGAACCCTCATTTTGTTTAGGTTTCTATGGTCATTATGCCTTAACTTGTATTTCTACCTCACTATAAAGAGAATCATTTATGGATGAAGCTTCTTTGATCTGTATTAAGCCACCAAGATCGAAATACCCTATGGCTAGGTTAAAATCTCACTCTAGCACTGAAAAGTCTTACAAACATAAGAACCTCCTCCCTTTAGCCCAATGTAACCTTCTCAAACCATGTAAGAAATTAAATCATCTATCAAAAAATAAAGTCCAAGCCCCAGCATCATGCTCCAGTCTCCATGGAAGTTTCTCTGTGTAAATACTGTGCACTCCTGAATTCCACTCTTTTTAATTTTGTTTCTTAATATTTTTAACCCCATTATTAAAGTATCTAAAGACTTAGAGCTATTAATGCTCATCTTCCCTACCCAATCTGTGATCTCAAACAGTGGAGAGATAGATAAGATTACAAATATAGATTGAAGACTGAGAGTCCAATGTGGGATTAGGGCAAGAATTCTCCTTCACCATTCTTCTCCCCTTCTGCTTGGCCCTCATGGGTTCAAGTGTCTTAAAAAAGTAGAGTAGCCCCTTTTCCCTGCTATTTTTCCCAAACTTAGTAACTAAATTTATTACTCTACTTTCTTAGGTTAACAAATGAGGAGGATGGAGACCTTGAATGTATATGAGGAAGAAATCTCTTTTTCAGGGAAATCAGGAATATAAATAAAAGACAGGCAAAAAACTACCACGTAAATGCAAACTAAATGATAAAGAGACAAGTTAATAGTATAATACCATTGACTAATAACACAAGTATATTTCATAAAATATTAAATTTTGGCCAAAAAAGCAGTCAAATAATATAAATTATCATTAAGAATATGGGAAAACAGATCCAAGTAGGTACTGCTGGTTGACACATAAATGGTAATAGCCTATCTAGAAAACAGTGTGACAGTATTTAATAATATTAAGTCTGTGTCTACCTTACAATGCAGCAGTTAGATGTTGAGTATTTGCTGTAGAGAAACACACACCCCTGGCCAAATGTGTCATGCACAGGAACGGCAGATAAAACTGACTTGCAAACATAAGATGTGGATTTATATCCTGGAATGACACAGTAGCTAGAAACGATAAATCAGAAAGATGTACAGTAACAAAAAGACAGTGTTTGATGAACTGTGAAAGCTACAAAATCTATAGAACCATGTATTTTATGTTTATTAGAACACATAAACACTCAACATGAAATGGACAACATTATTTTATGAGGACACATACATATGCAAGCATATGTCAAACATAGTAGTGTGAAAGCCTAAGGGCACAAGCAAAAAGAAAAAAAAACAGGAAAGAAATTTGGTAATGATTTGTGGTAATTATATGCCATGAATCAGATGAATGATCAATGATCATCACTACGTATTTCCCACAAAATAAACTGTAAACAGCAGAAGGAAATGGCAAATACCCACTACAAAATGCTCAGTTGATACATAAAGGAAAACACAGTGCCAATAAATACTTCAAGAATTTATCAAAATCACTACTAATTGCAGCAATGCAAATAAAAGCAATAAGGTATTAATTCTTACCCATATATTTGTAAAATAAAGATTGGGAAGTACTGCATGTTTGGAAAAGTGTATGGTAAATAAAGGATCCTCTCTGTTCTCAGAAGTGTAAATTTCTATATTCATTTTAGAGGAAAATAGTGGAAGCATTTTGTAATATTTAATTTAAATTTCCTTTTAATAGGCAATTTCATTACCTGCTCATATTCTCTACACATGCATAAAGAATAGGGAGAAAGTACAAGAAAGCTTATTATAATTTTGATTATAATAGTGAATAATTAGAAACAAATAGATAAGCATCAATATGTGAACAATAAAATAAATTGAAGTTTGGAATACGATATGGTAGTACAATGAACATGGTAGAATTTGTTGTAAATAGGATAAGTAGAAGGTATTTAAACATATGTTGAATAAATTTAAACAAGAACAAAAATGCAATACAGTAAGATAAATTGAGAAATAGGAAGAAATATTTAATGTATGCATCTTTTGTTTTATTGATTTAACTAACGCATCTAATAACAATTTCATTTTCTTGTAACACTCTCAGAGCTCGCCTGTAATATAAATGTTCATTTTCTGCTGGTGGTACTGCCTGTGCCCAGGCAAAGATATACATGTTATCCTAATCCATTAGTTTATGTGGTGTACTAATCAGATTTGGCTAGGTTATAACTGCATAACAAACAACTTCCAAATCTTAGGGGTTTACAAGAAGTAGGATGTATTTTTCACCTACACTACATGTTTATTACAACTCAATTGCATGTCGTCTTCACTCATAAACCCATGCTGATGGGATAGCATCTATTTAGATCATTTACCAAGATCAAATAGAAAGAAGAAGCGTTCATGCAAACTGTTCCCTGGCTCTTAAAAGTTTCTGCTCTGGAGTGCCACATTTCTGCTCACTTGTAATCGGCCAAAGTAAGTTATATGCAATCCTAAAATCACCGTAGTGGGGAAGCATAAATCTTCCCCAGAGAGGAACACTGAATAGTTTTTAGTAATAATACAATCTAACATAGTGTGTTAATGAAAGGCACCTATATTAGGTGAACTTATATAGAAATGTAAAACTTGATTCATTTAATTCAGAACTTTAAAAATTATTCTGAACTAATTGTAAATTGCTATATTAGCAATTTACAAAAGTTGAATTATCACAAGTTAGTGTTACAGGCACTTGGCACGTGAGCCTTAAGCAACACCACTTGGAGCTGATGATGACAATGTTTGATTAATGGTATCATCAGAGATGGGATGATAGTGAAAATCTGGCCAATCATCTCCTATGTTAATATGAAAGGCAGCTAATTATTCTATTTTCTGTGTGTTGTGAAGGGTGTTTGATAATGGATACCTACATATTGAAAAGTTGTCTATTGCATTTCAGAAATAAACATTTTTGTAATTGTTTTCCTAGAAAAAAATATTTATTGTGTGATTAAATCAGAATCATATAATTATATTGATATGATTTTTAAAACCCTACATATGATTGTTCCTCTCTAGTTTTCTAATTGGATATAAAAGTCTTTGGAAAAGAGATTTTCTCTTTTGTAGCTACCTGAGACTATGTTATTCCCTTTTATAATTAAGAATTTAATACATATTTATTTTGTTTTTATATTTATTATTCATATTATATACGTACATGATGCCCTTTTCTATTTATTCCTTTTATGTAAATATTTTATTATATATTTATTACCTTTTACATTTATTACATGTTTATTTTATTCCCTTTTATTTATTATGTTTCTTTTATAGCTGAGGTTGTTTTATTTATTTGTGTATCAAGTCAGTAATCCTAATTGACAGATAATAATCCTTAGCTCTCGAATGGTCATTTTTATGTACACATTCCATTTATTCATAGAATTGTAAATGGTGATTTATTTAGTGAATTGGCTAATGGTCATGATTTGAGCAATTACTGACAAAAAGGTGGCTGCAGATAGGACACCGATGAATATCTTAAATTATTGTTAAAAATACTGAATCAAGTCCAACTTTGTCAAAATAATCAGCAGAATTATTATAATTTGGCTATTTTCCTGAATATGGAAAGACCCCTAAGGTAAAAATTGGCCTAAGACCATTCTGTAAACAAAACAAAGCAAACAAAGGAACAACAAAGAATTCCCTTTTCTTCTGTTTTCATTTAGCCCCACAATCCTAAGGCAGAAGAGACTCATAACACAATTGTATCATCTTAGGGAAATTGACACAACACTGAATTACTGGGGCAAGTGTCAGTTTTTCCTCTAAATGAAGAAAATCTCCTGCTCCACCTCCCCATAATAGCTCTTTTCCAGAAACTGAGTTTTTAGAAATTCATCCATACCATGTGTTCCTCTGTGACCATGTTAACTTCTTCTTTCCTCTGGCGACTAAGGGTGAGCATTTCACACATAATGCTAGTGGTCTTTTCTCAACTTTTCCCTCACATGTTCAATATTGTTGCAAATTAAACACACTTTAGATTCAGTGAAAAAGAAGTAAAGGGATTATACTAAAATAAACTTGTTGTATCGTTCACACTTTTTAACAAAGTTTAAAAAGATTTTTTTTGACTCTGGCTACTCCTAGAAGGAAGGAAATCCAAAATACAGCTATATACTTTAGCCCTGTGGCTTTAGAAGATAGGTCCAGTGAATCTCTTTTAACAGGCATAAATATCTTTATGTTTAAATAGTCTCATGAGACACGTTAGAAAGAACTGAATCTCTCAAAAGGATGACTATTTGTCATAGCTCCTTGAAATTACATTTATTTAAATAATCATATATCAAGTGAACTACATTCTACTTAATCTGAATTGTATTTTTCATGAGATAAGCAAACTAGGTATTTGATACTGGATTACAAATCCTACTGTAATTGACGATGCTCTACTGTTCCCTTTTTACTCAATTTGCTATTTCTCTCCTGTTCTCTTTTACTTCATTCTCTTATTTTCTTCTTCTTTCTATAGCATTTTTCCTAACTTACTCATGTTTGCCCTAGGTCTCAGCCACACAAAACATTACATATTGACCCAGATGGTACTGATGAAGAAAGGCATTTCTCACCTTGGTGTGTATGTGTTTGTATAGGCCGGAGGGGAAAAAAACATAACTGCTTTTCTTTTCTTTCCCTTTTTAGCTTCTTAGTTGAGACACTCTCCTGAAAATAACAGCCAAGTTAACAAAATTAAAGCAAGCAGAAGTTCATTAACCCATTCCCATCACAAGCAAAAGTTCATTAACCCATTCTTATCACATCGGAGAGGCTTTAGTTCAAAATTATTTCTCACAAAGCAGAGGCTTAGGGGCTTTACTTAAATCGTATTTTAATAAAGAACCATAAATCCTATATAGTGAAAAGACAAAGGAGAGAGAAGTTTTCATCTTTTAAAAGATGGGAAAATATGGGAGAATAGTAAAACCGCTTCCCAGATGTCTCTGGTGTGTCTGAGGGTGCCTTCCCCGGGCCAATGAGAAAGTGTTGTCTCCAGTAAGAAAATATGTATTGCTTACCACCAGGCAAACAGAGGCTGAGGAAGAGTGTTTCCCTGCATTTTTAGTGTCTTTAACTTAACAATTTCTTAATATTTTGGGGAGAATTATTTTCATTTACGTAATGTCAAACAAAAATTATTAACTATTTTCTTTGCTTTCCAGCCTTAAGTCTAGACATTGGGAGACAACTGAGGAAAAAGTCATTGAAACAACTATCACAAAGCAATTGGGGATTGATTCATAAACCTGAGTGTCAACAGAAAGAAAAGCATCCAAGAAAAATAATAGATCTGCCTAGTTTCCCATGATAATTCAGTGGTTCTACCCTCTGGCTCACATGGCCCAGTGGATGTTGACTCTTTCTATCACACTGGTAACATATATTCCTTTTCTTCCTAGCACTGAAAATTGTGATGAGTTGACTCAAGGTCCTTTCCCCCAAATACTCTGGGGGGACCGAGTTATTTTAATAATTTCCTTTTTTTATTAATGATATATTAAAGAATGTCATAATGGATTTTCTTATAAAATATGTCCCCAAATTTATAGAAAAAAAAATTTTATTATTTTAAAATGAATAGCAATACAATTAATGTAAGACTATATTTATAGCAAGATTATTATGTAAAGAAATCCTGTATAATAATAATAAAATTAAATAAAATAAATAAATAAATAAAAAAGAAATCTGCATTAGGCAGATGCTTTGCATTCAGCATTTATTTACTGATTTATATTATCCTATTATTTCTATGTTCACATACAAATTTCAGGCTGAAATAGAAATCTCATGAGCATTGAGCCCACTTTTCATATTTCCACTTTCATGCAAATATTTCTATACTGGGCTATGACATGCATTGCCTAAAGCAGCATCATTTACAGCACATTTCATGGTAGGTAACCCAGAAGTTATACTTCAGGAACTTCTCCATTAAATATTTTGGAAAACAGAACAGTATGTCTTGAGGCTCAATCTAGTGCATGGTATTGTATCTTTGCAGTTCATAGAAACACATTTTAATGATTGGCCCAGGGAGGAAGCCCTCAGTGTCAACGGACAGGAATGAGATTTGCCAGTTTGTGTTCAGAGAGAATGAACAGGATAATTAAAGCAATGCATACTCTTTTTGAATTATCATAATCACCATCATCATCATCATTGAGTTATTGGATATTTTCATCATTATTATACATTACGTATCATTGATATACTTTAGTTTATATGAATTTTGAGATAGATACTTTCTCCTTTTCTAAATTTTCCCCCTTCTATTCCAAATATTTGTTTAAAATCACTTTCAATAGATTAATAATTCAGCTAGTGAATATATATTTTTGGTCTAGGTATATCAAGATATTCTTTTTGTTATACTTGTAACTGAGAATTACTATGTTGATATTCATGTTAGAAAATTTTAAAAACGAGGAAGTGGGAAATGCAAAAACCATGAATTAACAACATTGAGAGAACAATTAAAAGAATGTATTACTGATTAAGCAATTACATGAAATCAAGTCAAATATGATATGTAGCAATTTTCAAGAAATGATCAACCTTACATTGGAGAAGGTAATGATCTAAATAATTTCACCCACTGTAATTTATGCACTTATGTTAAAGAACTACAATCTGTGTTCAAAGTAGGTGCAATACGAAACAAAACAGATACTTCCTCCAAGAATATAGTAAGAACAAACAGGCATAAATAAGGTGTACCCCTTAGGAAATTTTAATTAGGTTATTTGCATATTTTCATCACAGTTGGTACCAAATCTCTAGACACTCAAACAATATAATCACTTAAGCTTTTGGAATACTATACTTTTAGGCCATATTGTGTTCAAACTCACTTGTGTGTGGAATATAAAGGTAAATAGTTGAGATTCTTTTAAGGCCTACAAATAAATTTGGGTCTGTCAAATAAAATGTATTGCATTGTTTTTGACCAATTTTACTTGTTTAAGTGGCTTTTGGAAGATTGCTAACACACCAGAAATAACGAGCTTTGGGAAAAGGAAAAAATAAATAGTGTCTGAATATGTTAACGAAACTTTCCTTTTTTGAAAACAATGATTATCTGTGACTTTTCTTATGCCTCAATTTTTTTTTCTCTCTTCCTTTCTGTTTGTTAATACTGCCAAGTTTAGTTTAGGTATTAAATCAATTTTGAACTAAAAATGTGTAGTTGAAAATTTTACTTCTATTAAATAATATTTGATTTTGGCTAAAATATTTTTCAGCTGGAATAATTCATTTCTGGGTCATTACTGGTACACCCAAACCCCTAGTCATGAACTCGACCTTTATCATTCTGTCTGGCACAATAACATTTCTCGATACCCTGGTATTTTCCTTTTTCACTTATAAAAAGGCAAAATTATAATTTTAATATCTTCCTCACCTTTACTGGGAGTTTGTTTAAGAACTGCTTCCTTTAAATGTAATATACTCTTTATCAATAAAAATGTTATTTTTAGATAAGAAAATTTTTTTTACTTTATTACTATTTTTCTCACTGTTGTATATAATAGATACATGCTTTCACTACTAAGCCTTTTGGAAACAATTTTTGAAGTTAGTTATTAGCATATAACAATTCTAAATATAACTATATCTAAGAATATTTCAAATTTTAAAAGTTTGCATAAATGACCTCTGGAAACCTATTTTGCATTTTAATATAAGAGAAATAAAAGCATTTTGATTTGTTAGCAAATGTGACATTAAGGAGCTGAAGGAGCTGCATATTGTTTTTCTGCTGTTTGCAGTACTTTCATTTTTATATGAAATATTTTGCTTTGACAAAATATAAGATATTCACTCTCAAGTATAAATAAAAACAGCTATTCTCATACTTAATACCAATATGTTTAAATACCTCACTCTCAAAGGCCTGAGCTCAAGCAAGGTGACTTAAGGTTTATAATAGCTTATCTCTTTGAAGTTTAGGAAACCATTATGGGGGGACACATGGGAAAGAGGTGTTGTGTACCATCACATCTTACACTGTAGAATTCAAAAGTTTCAGAAAAGCTTTTTATGATAATCTTTTTAAGATAAGCCCATTTTCCTATTTTCTTTAAATCTTTGCCTCATGTGAACTGTGAAAGAGAGGAAATCAATCTAAAATTAAAATAATATATAAATATACCATGCAAAAATTCCATTTATTTTTAATCTCATCTTTCTTTATTCAGACTTACCCAATTCCTTAAAATTTTTAAAACTATACAAAAGTATGTGTGTGTACATATATATATACACACACACACACACATATGTACACATACATATACACACACACAGAACTTCCTACTTTGTTAAAGTTCCGTAACGTTTTATTTTCTTTGGTGGAGGTGGAGCAATCAATATGCACATATGAGCTAATTCCAATTAAGGAAATATTCCTGTGAAGTAAATACATATACATCATTTTAAATTGTTAATCTGCTTCTTTGTTAACAAATAGACAAACGAAAAACACTTTAAACATGAGTTAAACACAAGGATAACTAGCAGTGATAGAATTCATTATAATTATTAAGAATCGAATTCTTTGTTTCACTAAGAGTGTTTACAAATGGACAGGCTCATTGAAGAAGTTGGTGTTAGTAGGGCTAATCAATTAAATTCTTTAAATTCTTGAGCATCTTGCATTGTTCTTTTGGTAGTCCAAAATATGATTTGAATTTCTTAATGAAAAGATCCTTCGTAACCATGCATCTTCTATATAGTTAAATGCTCTGTCCATAAGAAAGGCAACAGTTGGGAATGTCCTCATCACATGCATAAGAAATTGGATAATACTTAGCAGTTTATATTTCTTCTCCACCTTGCCCTCTGCTTGGGCCTCAACCCAAATACTCAATTTCCTGGTTAGATTTTTTGTTTTGTTTTACCTTCTATTCTGAATCTAACATATGATAGCAAATGAACAATTTTCTGCTCTTCTTAGAAATGTTGCTATTTGATGTAAGCTCATTGTAAGAAATTAGAGAAAAGACTTTCAAAAAGTAGTATTTAAAATAGTATCTCACTACACTTGTTAAATAGACATTAAACAGTCAGAGTTTTGGCAATATGTCAGACGTAACTTAGAGTAAACATCATTTACTCTTCTTGAAAAGTATACAAATCTTGATCTTGTTTTTTGTCATTCTCAGGCCTTATTCTCCTTAAATAAACTGTTTTTTCTTTGTGTATTATTGTGCTTGGCTTTTGCTGTCTGGATCTTTTACCACTCCATGCTCCAGCCTTCCTTGCATGCTCTGTATCCTGAGGCTGGCCCCTAGCACCTACATCTCCCAGGCTACTTGTCTTTCTGATTTTTCATTTGGTAAGGCTAGTGGGATCCAATAGCAAAAGGAAATATTACAGGATAAAGGAGAGAAAGCTAGTGCCTTTCTCTTCTGCCTTTCTCCATGTCGGAGCTGTTTTTCTGATCCCTCCTCAACGATTCCACCTAATTCTAGTTTCCTCAAAATCCATCAGCCATAAAGGTACTAATAACTTCTCATGATTGCTAATATCTGAATAGTTCAGCTTTCCTTGTTTGCTTACTCTATGATCAAAACATTATTAGTAGAACCCTCATTAATGTCTCTTGACTTTTTGTCCCCTTACCATAAAACTCTTAAAATTTTTCTTTAGTTTTTGCCTCCAAAACATGTTCTCTTAAACCTATCCAATTAGGTTTTTGCCATTCTCTTTAAATACATCAGTTCTTCAATCCCCAAATAATACTTCAACAGTTCATTCGAAGTCTATTTTAGCAGAATAAAATGCAGTTGATGATTCTCTGTTTTGATTCAACATTTTTTTTAACCTGGCTTCCTAATTTATTGCCATTTGCTGTCTTCTCCTGATAACTTAAAGATGGATTGCTTGAGGCTCTGTACCTGATTTACTTTTTGTCTCTTCCTGTATTCACTGTCTTGAAGATAGCATCTCAACACATGGATTTATGTATCATCTATATGCTGATGACTCTGGGATACCACAAATCACTTCAAAACATTGCAGTAGAAAATAATTTATTATTATTTCGTAGGGTTCAGACTGGCTGAATAAACTCAGCTAAACAGTTGTCACTTGGAGCCTATCATACAGTTGCAGTTAGCTGTCAGCGGAACTGGCTACTGCCATCTGAAGACTTAATTAGACTGGTCATCCAAAATGTCTTTTACACTTATCTATTTGGAATCTGGACTGGTATGACTAGTTTTATTACAACCAGAGGCTTTGCAGACATGTTCTTCTCTCCAAGTGTCCTTTCCATGTGGCTACCTTGGGTTTCTTCACAACATAACAAACTAAAGTTAGCCAAACTCACATGTGCAAACTGAAAGTATGTATGCTTCTTACATAACAACTGGCTTCCTCCAAGGTAAGTGGAACAACCAATCAAGCCTTCTTGTCATTTAAGCTTTAAAGTCATGCAACATCAGTTTGGTCACATTTTATTTATTACACGTAAGTCACAAAACCAGCATAGCTTCAACAGGAAAAGATTACCCAAGCCCATATAGGAAGTTGTGGTTCATTTGACGAGGGTATGTTGGAGGATTAGCTACCAAAAATTAAAATCTGATCCCCCTTCCTTACTCACAAACTCTTCACTCCCATATGCAGCTATGTACTTACAATGGTCATCTTCTAAGTATTTTAAGCTCAGGATATTCAAATTTGAGTTCCTGATATTTTGCCCAAATCAGTATCTGCCCACACATTTTCCATTTCAGTTGAGAGCAGTCCTTCAATCTTGCTGTCATTTGACTTGAAAATCTTAGAGACATGCGTAACTGCTCCTCCTTCTCTCATGACATCTCATCCAACATTTGAAGAGATGATGTTCTCTCTACCTTCAGAATATATTAATAATCAAACTACTTCTCATTTATTTTTCTCCATCCTTGCGTGAACTTTGAGCATCTATCATCTCTGGCATAGGTGACTGCAGAAGACTTCTAAATAATTCCACTGCTCTGATCTCGCTCCTTCTTGTCTATGCTCAGTAAGGTAGCTAGAGGAGTCCTGGGTACCGACAGGTCAGATTATGTCCCTTCCCTGCACAAAGCTTAAACCTAAAATCCAAGTAAACTGCAAGGCTCTAGACCTTTCTTTCCCTTTCTGACCTCACCTCTTGTATTCTTTGCTTCTGTTCTCTAACGCTTCACTGACCTCCTTTCTGTTTCCATGAACACCATATCATTACACGAGCTTTCCCCTCTATCTGGAAAGTTTCCCACCCCATATCTGAATGTGTATCTCTGTCAATTTCTTCCAGTTTGTATTTAGGCTTTCTCAAGATACACTAGACAAGCCTCTCTATAATTACTAAAACTCAGAATTCTTATACACTTTTCCCCATTCTACAGTTTCTGTAGTATGTATTACCTGCCAGTTCCTCAAATAAGGAAGGTCGTTTTGTTAAACATCCTTTTATTATAAGATTGATGACAAAAAAAATTGATTCCCAGCCAGAGCCACTGTGAGGAGTTTGTTGTTCTCTTCACATTTGCACGGGTTTTCTCTGGGTACTCCAGTTTCCTCCCACCTATGTCGTCCATCTTAGGTTGATTGGCTGTCTGGGTGATCCCCATTGTGAGTGTGGATGTGGAGACTGCTTGCCGCAATGGGACGGTGTCCTGTCCAATGCTGGTTCCCGCCTTGCAACCTGAGCTGCTGAGACAGACTCCAGCCACCCACGACTCTGAACTAGAATAAGTGGGTAAATAATTATTCTATTTGTTTTATTAATCTTTCTTAAGTGTATGTATAGCTCACACTTATTTCAATGTTTAATTTTAGAAGCTTTTTGGTGTTTATTTACAATGCTTTGTGAAGTATTTGTGACCAAAAATATGCCATAGGAAATCAAATCTTATTTACATAAATTAGACTAGGGTACAATTGCTTTCATCATACATTGTTTCTGTTAAAGTTGTGGTCTCCAAGAACCTATTCATGATATTTACTGAAGACTTACTGTACTATATAATTTTCTTTGTATATTTGCATGAGACATCTACCGGGTGTAGGTACAAGCTTTTGGACTGTTGTCTTCACTGCTGTATTTAAATTATATTGAAGAGTGCCTAGCACACAGTAGACAATAATACTTATTGCAATGTATGAATGTTTTCTCAAACATCCAAGGAGAGTATCTGACACGCAGTGAAAGGTGATGTATGTGTAAGTGCATGTGCATGTATATGAGATTGTGTGCAGGTGAATTATGTCTGTGTGTGTTTCTGTGTGTGTTGGGTTGTGTGTGTGCACATGTGTTAGGAGGAGTAGATTAGAGAACAGAGGAGAGTAGATATCAGCAGTGGCACATTGTACATAGGAAAGTTTATTCCTCACAAAAAAGGAATTGAATTAAAATGCAGAGAGATAGAAGGAAATTGTCTAGAAGTGAAGATCATAGGTTTTGATGTTTTAGGCAGTCCATTTCTTCTTTCTGTGATGTAACTAGATCGTAGGGGATAACATAAGATTGGTAGAAAGGGTGGCTATACATAGCAGATGTTAAACAGTAATTTTTATTGAAGCAGCAGGGTTACAGCAACCATGGAGGTACTGCCCCTTGCAGAGCAGGGCTACTCCATAGGCAGTGTGCCCAGAATAGCAGCCCAGAGGCAGTTCTGCACTCATATTTACACTCACTTTTTTTTTTTTGAGACAGAGTCTAGCTCTGTCGACCAGGCTGGAGTGCAGTGGCACATCTGGGCTCATTGCAACCTTCGCCTCCCGGGTTCAAGTGATTCTCCTGCCTCGGCCTCCCGAGTAGCTGGGATTACAGGTGCCTGCCACTACGCTCGGCTAATTTTTTATTTTTAATAGAAACAGGGTTTCGCCATGTTGCCAGGCTGGTCTTGAACTCCTGACCTCAGATGATGCACCCGCCTCGGCCTCCCAAACCGCTGGGATTACAGGTGTGATCCACCGTGCCCAGCCTACACTCACTTTTAACTATATGCGAATTAAGGGGCAATGTACACAGAAATTTCTAGTATGAGGATGGGAACCTCCAGGTCATAGGGCTGCTGCCATGGAAAGGGTCTATAACTTCCGGATGTTGCCATGGCAATAGTAAACTGACATGTCACACTGTTGGGCATGTCTGAGGGAAAGCTGCTTCTGTCCCAGACCTGTTTTAACTAGTCCTGAATTTGGTCGGGTGTTCATGCCCCCACCTCTGGAGTTGAGTCTCCCTTCCTGAGTTGGGTCAGGCCTCCTACCTCAGAGTGATGTCTAACTATCCAGCAATATCCATTGCCTGTTTTTCCCAAATATATAGTTTCCCAATTTTTAGCTAGCCTGTTCATTTACACACTTTATTTCCTTGTTTTTATAGTATTTAACTATAGATTCAAGACCAAGTGTCAGAAAACAGGATGTGAGAGGATGTGATGAGAAATTTCCCGATTATTTCCCTAAACACAAAGTTGTTGAACCTAGCATTCCTTTTCTTCACATTTTACAGTCTAGAATAGGAACATATCTCTGAAACTTGCTTAAATGCTGCAGATACAGAAAATCCTTTGAAAAACATTCAGGAAAAGTGATGAAAGGAAGCAAGTTCCCTTTGAAAGGGACTGAAACAGAGCCAAATGAACTATATTCCTGTCTTACTTTAACCAGCATTTCCTTGTTTGCCAATTAGTCTTTGTTGTTTGTTTCTGAATCTATTTAATGTAGTATTATAGAATATAAAAAATATTAAAAGTAGTTCTTATAAGCCTTGGGCTAGAATTGGCAAAATTATAAAAATGATTATGAGAGTGGTAACAATATTAGACTCCTCTCTTACAAGGTCTTTCTGGATGCGAGTGGAGACCAATTAAGTAGGATACCCTCTAAGGAAGTTAGTTTGCTAATGCAGGCAACACAGCTTTAAAGCTTATGTAAATAAGTGGTGCAGCTATAATTCACTTAAAAAAGGAATGGTGGAAGATAAGCTAGTTTGTAAGGGAAAAACATTAAGATTGTAAGGTCTGTGGGAAATCTGAGTAATCCAAAAATGCCATGGAAATACAAATGTAGTGTCTACAGTGTCTATATTGAACATTTGCATATTATGAAATGTTAATTATAATTGAAATCCTGAAAGCAAATAAGACCACACAGCACAATGATAACATGAAAAGTGAATAGACAGCAAATTCAGAAAAGAAAGAATATCAGTATTTGTGGTTCACATAAATGAAAAAGAGATGACAAAAAATTCTGAGTAAGAGCATCCACTAAGTAAAAGGAAAATCAGAATAAAGTAAAATAAAATAAATGCTTCAGGAAGGATAATGTAGCCTATAATTTCAAATGCTGCTTAATAGTCAATGTACCATCTAAGGGTTTTCTGAAGTCAGCACAATAGAGATTATTGATGACTTAAGAGGGTGATTTCAATGGGGAAGTAAGGTTGAATGTCAAATTATTGTGGGTTGAGAAACAAAAGGAAGAAAAATTATTTAAGATTCCTGACCAAATAAAAATATACTACTCAGCTTCGTGCTGACATGCAAATCTAGACAATAAATGACAAAGAAGGGGCACAAAGAGAAAATTGAGTGTTCATTAACACCACTAGATTGCTTAAGGCTATTCTCTCATTCAAATGAATCTGCAGCTTCTTGTTAATGTACTATCATGAAATTCTAATATTTGATGCATTTCAGATAAAATACTGTTGTAAGATCATATACTTTTTTTTTTGAGACAAGATCTCCCTCTGTTACCCAGGCTAAAGTGCAGAGACATAATTGTGTATCACTGCAACCTTCACATCCTGGGCTCAAGTGATCCTCCCACCTCAGCCTCCCAAGTAGCAGAGACTACAGGTACCTATCACGACTCTCAGCTGATTTTATTTTTGTATTTTTTTTTTTTTGGAGAGACAAGGTTTTGGCATGTTGTCCAGGCTAGTCTTGAACTCCTAGACTCAAGTAGTCCACTGCCTCAGCCTCCCAAAGTGCTGGGATTATGGGCATTAGCCACATGCCCATCCAAGATCCACATTCTTGAAGCCAAGGATTAACATACTACTTTCTTGTCCAAACCCTTCAGTGCTTTCTCATTGACTTTGTAACAAAATAAAATGCAGAATGGCAATCAGAGGATTAAAAAATATCTTTTAACCCATATAATTAAATAATTTTATTTACAAACATTTTTACTTATTTGTCCAAAGGTTATATTAGACAAATCAGTGCACATGCTTTTTAAGGTATTCTTCTGGAATTTTCTGTTTATAGGATGGCCCTTGATTGAACACTATCCACTAATTCCCGTGAACTTTATATTGCCAAATCATTACTTTTAATTCCACATTCCTGTAATTATTGAATTAATCTTCAACTACATTTGAGAGATAACGTAAAAATATGTTTTATATATATGACTGTTTGCATTTGTAGATTAGAAGAGTAGCAAATGACCAATATAAAGCCACATACCTATTAAGAAAAGTTACTGGGAACATCTAAGAAGCATTGAATAGCTGTAACAATTCAAGAAACACTCCTCTTGAGAGAGGAAGCAGTTAGAGGATTGTTAGGCAGATAGAGAGGGAGCATCTCTGGAGGTGACAAATATGTGTGAGACCACACCTGCACCACTCCTGTAGCTAATGGAAAGAAGTGTGGTCCAGAACTTCCCCTTATGCCAGGAAGTTGCTCAGAAAAGACTGTCTGAACTTAGGTGCAGACACAATAAATCAACCTGAATGTTCTTAACTTGATGCAATTCATTATAATGTCATTAAAATGACATTGGCATTGTGGTTTTAGCCCCCTTCAGGTTTCAGTTAGGCACTCATGGGTGATAACCAAGATGGAGTCACTGGCCAACCCCAGACATGCGCAGATGCAACACTCTTAGTTGGGAAATTTACCTCTCCCATATTGTGCAGAACCCACAGAAGACTTCCTTGCTCTTGCCATATAAAAGACCCAGAACTCAGCACCATTTATGGCAACCTGCTTCCAGGTCCCCTCTCTTTGTTGAGAGCTTTCCTTTTGCTTAATAAATCCTACTCTACTCACTTTCTTGTGGCTGCATGCCTTATTCTTCTTGGTCATGGGACAAGAACTTGGACTTAGCTGAACAAGGGACTAAACATACTGCAACACTTCAAAGCATAGATTAATGCCAATTTCTCTTAGAAGAGTTTTTGCCCAATCACTTCAACTCTGTTGAATTTTCCTTCTTCTCCTTCCACTCATCATTTTATCCCCTTATTTGTATGACTTTGCCTTATTAAACATTTGCACATCTGTCTACTCCCCCTATTATTAAAGCAGTCATTGAGAACTCATCTGATATGTTTCTCTTACACAGAACTTCTCGAATGCAGTGTTCACTGAAGGAGCTTAACTATTTTTAATAAAATAAATGTATAACTTCTGTGTGATTTAATAAGTTTCTAAAAATTTATTATGGGAAATTCAACAATTGACTTTAAATACAATACTTAATCCAGTCTAGTAATACAACAAATGATTATTGATGTGGATATAATAAATTATATTTTAACAATAATAAGGTGTGTCAATAACAGAACTACTAATATGTTATTTATTTGTATATGCTGATTTTATTTATATTCCGTATTTCTTAGGCCAACTTAGAAACTAAGCTGGGCAAAAGCAATTTTTAGATCTTTATTTACATTAGGGTTCACTCAGTATATATTCTGTGAGTTTTGAGAAATATGTAACTACATGTATCCACAGTTATAGTATCATATAGAGAGATTTTACTGTACAAAATCCTCTGTGCTCTGACAATTCATACCTCCCTTACTCCAAGCCCTGGCAATTACTGATCTTTTCACTCTCTCCCTAGTTCTGCCTTTTCCACAATGTCCCATAGTTGGAATGCAGTATGCAGCTTTTTTGATTGGCTATTTTTTACTTAGTAATATTCATTTAAATTTTCTCCATTCTCTACTTCTTAGAGGTGAATACTTTTTCATTCTAGATGTACCAGAAATTAATTTTTAAGAAACAGTATATAGATATTGCCATTAATATAGAATTTAATTTAGAATTTGTTTAAAATTTTAATTTGAAACTTAAATTTTGTATGGCATATTTATGTAATGATATTTGCTTAAAATTGTGAACGAAGGATAAGATTCAAATAAACTTGGAAAAATACATTTTGTTTTGTCTCATTTTTAGTATGAAGAAAATAGACCAAGCCTGAGAGATCTTTTCATATTTCATTCAACTAGAACAGGAAACCTCTGTAACACTACAATTAATTTTGCCAAATTTATTTTGTCTCTCCTGCTCATTTTATTTCTAAAGAATCAGAAAAAAACAGGTATATTTTAATATTTAACATTTTATAAATGTTGAAGTACTGATCTATCTTTAACTTTCTACTTAGTTTAAATGAAAAAGAACAATGTTGAAAAGATTATTTGGAAGTCAGATAACTATGATAAAAGACTTATGTGTGTTTTAACTATGATTTATTCTAATAGCTTAAAGCTTAACTTTAAGTGATACAAATTGGTATTTAATTAAGTGGTTTATTTTTTTCCTTTTTAAGAAATGTCATCATTAAATAACATGTGAAATGATTTACATTAGGTAATCAGTGGCATCAATACCACTGCTGATTTTTATTTTATTGAGGAAGCTAGGAAAATATCAGTTAATAAAAGTCATAAGGCACTGTTAACTATAATACTATGATTGTTTTACACCATGATTCAAATTCCACCATTTTAAAGGTCATATTTATATTAGAAGTCTGTGTACTTAAGAGGAATATATTTCAAACAGCACATTAAGTCAAAATTGAGGTGAAAATAATAAAAATATGAAATATGACTATAGCTATTCTGCTTTTATTGTGGCATACATATATTATATATATATATATATATATATATGCCCACAGAGAGACAGAGAGGAATAGAGTTTTTGAAGTAATGTGATGATTTATTTGTGTTGATAATCTTTTTGTATGATAAACTTATATTTGCATATGTACAAAAATAAATCCATGCACTATGATTTACTAGAAAATTAGATTTTGTGTGGCATAAGTATGTAATGACTTTCTCCAGTTCCTAGAAAAGAGAGTTAATGCCATAACGCCAAAAAAATTTGTTGAGATAATTTCATAAAATATTAACCTTTTTTGTTCTCTGTTTATTTACTATGAACAAAGAGTGTGAGATGTATTAACTTCCCCTCTCAAAAATGCGGTCAAGCTTTTGAGTTCTGAGATAAGGATTACTGTAAAGGGAAGGTATTGAAATGAGGATTAAGAGGTAGCTGGGTTTTAGTGACAACCTGAAGAAGAAGCACTGTTGCCTAATGTTGAATCAAGGCAAAGATTTTTCAAGGGTTTGGAGGAGATACGGTTGCACAATCCAAGAAAGAACCATTGAAGTTGAGTAAATTAAAAATACGAAGGGTTTGGTGGAAGGACAATAGTAAGAGATTGCAATCTGTTTTGAGAGTTTAAGGAGAGAGTCATCAGCAAGACTGTGGAATAAGGGGTCCCCAGCTCTAGGTGTGCCACAGAAATACAAATTTAATAATTATTCACAGACAATAATGACTTTGTGATAATTCTGAACTCTAAGGGGGAGTTACAGCACCCTAACAGAGTATAAACACACACAAATATTAAAAAGAGCAAAAATAAAATTCCACTTTGTCCACATCACCTCTCTCCTAAGCCTGCACAGTGCAATGTTGAGAAGAATACCCTCAGTCTGCAGTTTCTCCAGTGGGGGAATATGGTTTGGCTGTATCCCCACCCAAATCTCATCTTGAATTGCAACTCCCACAATTCCCATGTGTTGTGGGAGGAACCCAGTAAGAGGTGATTGAATTATTGGGGCAGGTCTTTCCTGCACTGTTCTTGTGATAGTGAATGAGTCTCATGTGATCTGATGATTTAAAAAATGGGAGTTTCCCTGCACAAGCTCTCTTTTTGCCTGCCACCATCCATTTAAGACATAACTTGCTCCCCCTTGTCTTCCACCATGATTGTGAGGCCTCCCAAGCCATGTGGAACTACAAGTCCATTAAACCTCTTTTTCTTCCCAGTCTCGGGTATGTCTTTATCAGTGTTGTGAAAACAGACTAACACAGGGGGAAAGACTGACATAAACCTCCACCTTCCCCAGTGATTTGGGTCTTTGTCCTAGAGGACTGCTTTGGTCTTGCCTCATTCCTTATACTGGGGCAGAGTTGTTGGGGGGCGGGGGTGGGACAGCTAGGTCCATAAAAAGGGGTGGGGTTTTTTAGCAGTCAATATGCATGGACCTTGATGGTAACTCCAGACCCCACCAGGAACCTTGCCCAGCCACAGCTCTCACCAGCTGCCGTCTGACTATGTCCCTACCAGCAAGTCATGTCCTACACAGAACCAAGCCAAGTGACCCTGCCAGACCATAAACCTCTCACAACAGCGGTCTCTCCCAACTTTAGCCTTAGCCAGAAGCCTCAGGAACCTACAAAGCACTGGCATTGGACCCTGCCTGACCAATCCTGCTGACTTCAGCAGCAAGCCTCGCCCACTCAGGGACTCTGCCAACTGGCCCTCTCAGAATCCCAGACAGGGCTAAGTGATGACGGTTTTTCCCTGCTGGAGCCAGCCTGTAAAAACTGGAAAAAGTGGACAGTTTCTCAAATATGCCGACACATATGAAAAAGTACAAGGACTATAACGTCAAGAATATATGACACTACCTAAGGAAAGTAATAAAGCTCCAATACTAACCCTAAAGAAATGGAAATCTACATATTGTCTGAAAAGCAGTTTTTAAACCATCTTAAAGAAGTTCAGTGAACTAGAAGAGAACACAGATAGACAACTAAACCCAAATCAGGAAAGCAATACATGAAGAAAATGAGAATTTCAACAAAGATATTGAAAACCATAAAAAATTACAGCTAAAGAATACAATGACTGAATTAAAAATTTAATAGAGAGCTTTAAGAACAGAGTTAATCAGACAAAATAAATAATTAGTGAACCTGAAGAGAAGTCATCTGAAATTTTCCAGTTAGAGGAACAAAAATTTAAAAACTAATGAAAAAAGTAAATATTTATGGGACACCATTAAGTGAAATGATATATGCATTATGAAATTCTCAGAAGGATAAGAGAATGAGAAATGGGAAGAAAGCATACTTAACTGAACAATAATTGAAAACTTTCCAAATCTGAGGAGGAAAATGGGCATCTAGATTCAAGGAGCCCAGAGGTTACGTCTGCACAGACACATCGTAATTCAGTTGTGAAAAGTTTTGAAAGCAGCAAAAGGAAAGTGGCTCATTAACTCACAGAGGATCTGTATAAAACTATCAGTGAATTTCTTTGCAGAATGTTTGTAATCCAGGAGAAACTTAGATGACATATTCAAATATTAAAATTAAAAAATGGTCCCAAGAATACTATATATACCACAACAATCCTTTATCATTGAAAGAGATAAAGACTGCCAGATGAACAAAAACAGGAAGTTTCTTACCACTAGACTTACCCTACAAGAAGTGCTACAGGGAATTCTTCAAGTTAAAATGAATAGATGTTAAACAGCAAAATAAAAGCATACAAAAATACAAATCTCAGCCGGGCACGGCGGCTCACGCCTGTAATCCCAGCACTTTGGGAGGCTGAGGTAGGTGGATCACGAGGTCAGGAGATCGAGACCATCCTGCCTAACACAGTGAAACCCCGTCTCTATTAAAAATACAAAAAATTAGCTGGGCGTGGTGGCGAGTGCCTGTAGTCCCAGCTACTCGGGAGGCTGAGGCAGGAGAATGGCGTAAACCCAGGAGGCGGAGCTTGCAGTGAGCCGAGATCATGCCACTGCACTCCAGCCTGGGTGACAGAGCGAGACTCCGTCTCAAAAAACAAAAAAATACAAATCTCATCAGTAACTATATGAACCAACAGAGTATTCCAATACTGTTATGATGCCACAAAAATTACTTTTAACATTAGCATGAAATTTGAAAGATGAAATTATTATAAATTACTATAACCACAAGAATTAGCTAATGGATACACAATATAAAACGCAGTAAACTCTGACATCAATAGCACAAAGAGTAACAAGGGGGAGAGTAAAAAACATAGAGCTTTCATGTGCAATTGAAGTTAAGTTATCAACTGCTTAAAATAGATTGTTATAACTCTAAGGGGTTCAATGCAAGCCTCATGCAAATAAATTATGGTAAACACACAAAGCACAGAAAGAAAGAAGAGATTGGTTATACTGCTAGACTGCACTATTTGCTATGGCCAAGAAAAAAAAAATACCTAGCATTGAATAGACTCAGCCACTCATCTTCCAGCATATCCCTCAAATGTCAGCATGGAAATCTCAGTCATCATCACAGTGGAAGAAAAAATATAGTTCTCATTTCTGGAATTTTCTTGTGCAATTCTAAAAGAGGAAATTGACCTCTAAATGTGATCAGGTAGAATGCTGTAACTCTGATTAATCCTCTGGATTGGAAGACCAACCAAATACGTCTAAATTATTAAATTAAATAAATATTTTAACATGTAAGCAAATAATTAAATAGAAGCCTTTTCTGTACTCATTTCAAGAATAACCCTTATTCCTTATAACTTCCAATTGGACTATTTTTAAAGGGCACAATAAATCATATTCCCAAACCACAATAAACTTGTTTGTATTATTTGATTTCAACATTCCTAGAGGCCTAGTTCCTAAAAAATTGCAAAGAAAATGTCTTGCTTATAGTTTATCAGAAATATTTGAAGACTGTTGTGCAATGGAAACATACAGTTCTTCTACTGTAGAACATTTTGTATTTGTAGCTACTAACCAGAATGCCAAGATTTATAGTGTATCAGGGCCGTTAATTAGAAAGTAGGGGATGATGGACTATTCACAGTCAATTTTAATCAGAGTTTAGATGTCTATGGTTTTTAAATGATTTCTGTTGTTTTGTAGATCTCATTTCACAGAGTTGCAAACAAAAAAACAAACAAAAATTGTTCTGATTCTGATCTGAAACATGCTGCATAATAATATTCACAGCCTCCTTTTTGGGAAAAGTTTGCATTCCTGATAAAGTGCATAAGAAACTTTCTGATAAATTTAATAGGATAAAGAACACTTCTGGAGAAGTGGTGATCCACAAACCCATATTATGTCAATCACATATCTTATTATTTTATTCAAACACATATTCCCATGTTTCCAACCTAATAGTTATCTAAAGTTTCTCTTTTGTATAATTCTGATGAAGAAGAACTCTTATAATTGGCCTATAGAATCCTCTTTTTGGCAACATGTTTGAATGAAACTTGCTCTTTTCTATAATTATCCAAAATTTTTGTTTCTTTTGTTTTGTTTGAAACAGGAGCAGCATTAACTAAAGCTCCAAGTGATTTTAATTAGAAATGTAACATGTAGCAAACAACAAAGAAATATTCGGAAACTTATATGCAAATAATTACATTTCCCACTGAGATTATTAAGTGATTTCTCTAGTCAATTTGAAAAATCTTCTGAAACACATATTTAAGAACATCATATAAGGACATATACATTTAACTTATAAAAATGAGACATTAAAACTAACTTGGGCAATATGGTACCATGTCTTGTCTGATATTGCAGATTTATTGTTTTAAAAATATTATCAATTTTAGGCCAGGCAAGGTGGCTCACGCCTGTAATCCCAGCACTTTTGGAGGCCGAGACGGGCAGATCACGAGGTCAGGAGATGGAGACCATCCTGGCTAACATGGTGAAACCCCGTCTCTACTAAAAATACAAAAAAAAAATAGCCAGGTGTGGTGGCAGGCGCCTGTAGTCCCAGCTACTTGGGAGGCTGAGGCGGGAGAATGGCCTGAACCCAGGAGGCGGAGCTTGCAGTGAGCCGAGATTGCACCACTGCACTCCAGCCCAGGCGACAGAGCGAGACTCCATCTCAAAAAAAAAAAAAAAAAAAAATCAATTTTTATGTGCCAGTTTTCTTGTGAGTATATATTTTTTGAAATCCTGATTACATTGTTTGAACCCAAAATAGAAACCTCAAATTATTTAGCACTTAGTATCTGTAAAAATTAGAAAGAAAATATCCATTCTCAGCAGAAGCTATGCATCATACGTAGTTATTGTAAAGTGGACCATAGAATAGATCTTTGGATTTTGTTGCTCTTCTCAGAAAATAACGTGGCTTTTTTCTTGATCTTTTATATATAAGTCCTATAGTTGCTATTTATTAATAAATAACAAGCAGTTTTGAATAGCTAATAACATCTTAATTTAAAAAGTAAAAAAAACTTCTCAGATTAATAACTATCTTCGTAACTGCTGTATCAGATATTTTAACTTAGGAAAATGCTTTGATAGCTGCATTCTTCCAAAATCTATTATCATATTCTCCAATAATTTTAATTTTCTTCTCTTCATAACTTAAAAATCCTTTAAATAGACATTATAGCTTTAAGGTGTCTAAGGACAATAGCTACATATGGCCCATACTTATTTGAGTGAAAATAATTGCAGTTAATAGTTTGAAAATGACAAAATATTTTCAATGAAGCTCTTTGCTATTTAAAGATAAATAGTTTTTATTATTCTGAAAATCTTTGTGTAATCCTAATTTGTTCATAGGATGATGCTTCCTTTGTTTTTCCTTGTAGAGTGAGGATAATTAGAAAATTGCATAGTTCAACTTCGATCTTCCTTTTCCCCAAAGAGGTGTGCTACATGCTATCCACTGAGAATGCATTAGAAGAAAACTTTCAATGTATTTTTTTTCAGATTGTTTCAGTTTTTGTTTTGTTTTTCTGTTAATTTTTTTGGGGGGGATCAGGCTTTCTTTCTTCAGGGAAATTGACTTTCAATTGTAGGCATTCATTACAAAAAAGGGTCCTACACAAGCAGGGCACTTAAATTCTCTTAGGCACTCAGCCAAACTTGTCACCTGTTGTTATTGTTGTTTTATATAAGGCAAAGGAGTTGTTATAAAGATAATTTCTATTTCTGAAGTTTTAATTATAACTGAAATGTTGGTAAAAAGACTTGAAGGAAGGATTTCCTCCTCTGTATCCAAAGAAAACAAAGAATTACACAGTCTATAAACATATGAGAGTAGAAAAATTGTACAATACTGATTATAATTTTTTGACTTTAATCTCATTTAGATTCAGTGCAGAATTTCAAGAGCATCAAGAAAATACACAATTTATATATACACAAACACACACACACATATATATATATAAAATATAACATTCACTTGCTATGAAAAACCATTTTGGTCACTATTTCATTTCTAAACTCAATGTGTATATGCAACATTAAATGTTCTTAAATGTAAGAAGGAATCAGTTTTCAAAAATATAAATGAGTGCTTACTTTCCTTGGAATTAATGATAACATATCAAATGGGAAAAATGCAATTTTCTTTGTGGAATCTTTTATAAGTCTCAATGCTGTGTGTGCTCTAAAAAGTTTATGTTAGAAAAAAAGTTAAAGATTTTTTCATAGCTTTCATAAAAATTGCTTTATAATAGTGTGACCACAGGAGATATAAATACCATAAAGTGAGGCAAACAGTATATTTTATAAATAGAACCAGCAGCATCATACATTTATGGGATATTGTAAATCATCTGAATTTTAGTTCTCAGAAACAATGATCACTTCCATTTCAAACTCTGTATTACTCAGTAAAGTAGTTCTGTTGTATTTTAAAATATACTCCTACCCTCACACTGATCAGCTTCATTCACTATTTTCCAGGACAGAGCTAATGCTTCCATCTACAGAAAAATTCATGGTCAAAATATTTTCATGCATGTGACATGAAAGTCATAATATTTTAATGATTGACATTATTCTGATTGATTATTTTCTAGTTAACATTTAAAACTTAAAAATGATGCTCAGAGTAAAAATTTCTTTATTAATATTCTGTAGTTTAAAATGCTTACAACTGTGTTAAAACATATACTCATTCTTTTGTAGCACTACAATTATACAATTACAAATAGTTGTTTGGCAATACTATTAAATTACAATTACTAGGGTTATAAAATTCAGAGTAACCCTTGGATGACCAAAAGCTTATGACAAATGAATTGGCTGTGTGCACCTAAAGTCTTTTGGCATATAATGGTGTGCAGTAATACAATGTCAAGCTCTGTCACCAATGCTGAATGAGAGAAGTGGTGTCGCCATTATTAGTCCCGGAAGAAACTGTCATTATGCCTCAAATTTGAAGCCTACATAGATAATTTTATTCAAAATATAGAAATAAATTAGGATAGGTTTATATTTTGATTTGGAAGCCACAAAAGAAAATGGATAATGCTTTAAACATTGTAAAATGTTTTTGAAATTTGTCTAATATTATTAAAGAATATATAACATTATCTCCAATGAAATAACCAGATTTTTTCTGTTTATTGATTTAATAAAACAACATTTATGCAAATGCATTCTATTACTACTAGCTTTGACTATTTCTCATAGGTGTTTTAATTATTCTAATATTTTAAGTGCTTTTCTCATTCTAAGTTTAATATTCCCATTGGCCCAAATTGTTTCACGTTTTATATAATATATTTTGTTTTTAGGAATATGGTCATAATGAACTTAAGTTTTATTGAACTTTGGCCAGAAGATACAGCATGGACAAACTTGTTTTGTTTTTGGAAAAGTGTTTAAGTATTGAGTTGCAATTTTGAATTGCATATTTTATAGATTCATTAAAATTATTTGCTCTGCCTTTATAAGATACATTAGCCACATACAATAGTAATTTATTTTCTGGATTCTTAAAACAGCTCCACCATTAATTAGCTGTGTAATATTGAACAAATCACATTAATTTTTGAAATTTATTTCTCTCATGTATGTAATGGAGATAATTTTAGTACCTACATAACGGTATTCTTCTGAGGATAAAATGAATTGTGTTTATCATCAATGAAGTATTTATCAAAATGTAAAAGTACTTGCTATTTTATTTCTATCAAATTGTCTTCATAAACTTACTCCTTCTATATGTGTTTAAAGCTTTTGGAGTTACTAAGTGCTAAGAGTGATGCACCAAACTATTTCTCTGCTTTGCTTTTTCACTACTGCTACTCATACTACAACTGATAGCATCATTACCATTTCCTTTATTTTTAATGATTTAAGGGAAGTGTCCTATGTAATGTTGAATCTACAAATACATATACATACTGGCATACATACACACACATAAACACATCTGTATTGATAGTTTCTTGATTTCTTATACACAGATAAGAAAAGTTAATTTGTATTTTCAGTAATGGTGGGTGCTATGATCTGAATGTATCCTCTCAGAATTCACATCTGGAAACTTAATCACCAATGTGATAGCATGGGGGTGGGATCCTTGGGGAAATTAGATCATAAGAGCGGAGGCTTTAAAGATGGGATTAGTGTTCTTATGAAAGAGGCCACAGAGAGCTACCTTGTCCTTTGCACTATGTGAGGACACGACTAAAAAGCGCAATGTCTTAACTGAAACACGGGCTCTCAGCAGACATTGAATCTGTCAGCACCTTGATCTCAACCTTCCAGCCTCCATAACTGTGAGGAATAAATTTCTGTTTTCTGTAAGCTGCCCAGTTTATAATGTTGTGTTGCAGTGGCCCAAACACACTAAGAGCAGGTTAAGTTATTCGTACAATCACCATGCTTAATAGAATAAATACTACTTTTTGAAATATATGGTATTTGAAAGAAGGTAAAGACTTACCAGGCCAAAATTGAAGGAAAATTGAAACATAAAGGAGTAAACACATACTTGAAAGCCACATTTAACTAAGAGCTATTTGCCAATCTGGAAAAGCCAAAATTCTGTTTTGAGAGACCTGTGGGATAAAAAGAGACAAAAATGAAAACTGGGTGTCTAAATAAGTTGTATGTTTTTAATTGAAAACCTCTTCCCAAAGAAACTAACCACCAGAAGTCTTGGAAGTATAATAGCACATTACACAAAAGAAAAATTAAAAGGATTTATATAGGCAATAGAAAAAAGAATTGAGGGGTATTTTCTCTGACACAAACAAAAATGAAGAAGATAGAAAGGACCAAATATTTGGAAATTCTAAATTACAGTGACGATGAAAAACAGTAATAAAGTATCTGTTGGGTTTTAAAATGACAGAACTTAAATCTATGGCATCGTATTTATATAAATAAATATAAAAGTTTGACTCATACAGCAGAGTCTGTAGTTGTAAAACCCCAGCTTATGCAGGAAAGTAAAGATACCAATTAGTTTTCAATTTGGTGGCTTAATGATGCATGCCCTAGGAAAACGGAAATAATATGTGTGGTAAGTACAAAACTGAAGAAGAGGAAACTCCAAAAATTAAAAAAAATAGTTAATTTAAAAGAAAGCAGAAAAAATAAAAATATCAGGCAAGGCAAAGCAAAAAAAGTCAGTAGTTTGAAAATTACAAAATATCATTAAATGTGTTCACAGAAATATATTGAAATATACAGGTTTTTAAAAATGAGTATCAGACAGAATTTTAAAAATCGAACAGACTTCTGGCCTCCAGCTCTGATATTTTAAAAGCTTTGAAGCCATCACTCTGATGAAAATCGGGCTGAACAAACTTAAAAGAAAGCTGAACAATGAAAATCAGCAACTTTTCTAGGATCCGTCAGAAAATTGAGGTCACCAGGAAAGCAGTCACCATGATATCTAAAAACAAGTAAATCCGGGCATCTCTGCCAAGGAAAGCTTACTTGGAGCAAAAGAACAAGAGCTATAAACTTATAGAAACACTTAAATGGTTACTTTGAGCAGTTGCTGGAAGCTGAGGGTAGACTAGCTGAGAGTGAGTAACTTCCAGGGGTCTGAATCTTAGGGAGTGCCTCATATTTTTATGGGTCTTATCTCAGGCACTCCACCAGAATCTGCAAGTAAAGAGCTGATAAAGATGTGTTCTTTATTCCAGCATGGGCAGGAGAAATATAAGAAGTAAAATCATTCAAAATATATTCTCATACTGTAATAGAATTCACGGAAATCAATAACAGGAAGATAGTTGAAAATACTCAAATATTTGGAGACTAAACAATAAATATACTTCCAAATAACATCTGTGTCAAAGAAAAAACATGAAGAGAAACTAAAAAAATAAAATTGAACTAAATAGAATTGAAAACACTATTTATCTAAAAGTGTGGAATGGGATGAAAACAGTACCTAGAGGGAAATATATAGTATCCCATGTGTCTGTTAGAAAAAATATCTAAAATTTAATAATCTAGGCTTCCACATTAGGAAATGAGAGAAAGAAGTTCAATTAAAACCAAAAGCAAGAAAGAGAAAAGCAACACAATTAGAGCAGAACCAAAAAGCAACACGATTAGAGCAGAACCAATGAAATTGAAAATAGAAAAACAATAGAGAAAATTAATAAAACCAGAAACTTGTCCTTTAATAAAATGAATACAATTGATAAACCTCCACACAAATTAATGAACATGAAAAGAGAAAAGATGTGCAATACAATATCAAAAAAGAAAGCAAGATCAGTACTACCAGTTTCATGAATATTAATAACAATCTTTGAACATTGAAGGGATAAGAATATTGTGAATAACTTTATATCAACAAGTTGATGACTTAGAAGAAATAGAAAAATCACGTGAAAGACACAAATTTCCATTGATCACATGGGGAGAAATAGATAAACTGAACAGGCCTATATCTATTAAAGACACTGAATAATGTTTAACAACTTTTCTCAAAAGATAACCAGTCCTAGATAATTTCGAATGTGAATTCTATTGAACATTTAAGGTAGTATTGGTACCAGTTCCCTCATTCTCTAATAGAAAATAGGGAGCACTCCCAAAATTACTTTTATAACCTTCATAGCAAAAACAGAGATATTTTACAAAAAGATAATTACGAGCAAATATCTCTTATAAAGATATATGTAAAATTCTCAACATAACACAAGAAAATCAAATTCAACAACATATAAAAATTAACACAACAAAGTCACATTTACTCTAGCTATGCAGTGCCAGTTTAATTTAAAAATCAAACAATGTAACCTACCACAATAGACAAAAGAAGAAAAATTATACTGTTACCAGAAAATCAGGTGTTCAGTCTAGGTCCTGCTGCTGGCCACAAAGAAAGCCAATCACTGAGACAACAATTATTGCCAAGAAGGCTATAATTGGGTGTTGCAGCCAAGGAAATGGGAGATCAGTCTCAAATCTATAACCTTGATGGACTAAAATTGGGGGTTTATGTTGCAGGGAAGAAATGTAACAATGTGTAGGGAAACAGGAACTCAGAAGGCTTCAGGAAGCAATCATGATGAATGAGACTCAGCATCCCGTTGTCTGGTGGTGGTGATTTGGTGAGTTTCAATTCATTGATCCATTTTTGTGTGAGGCCTGGATGTCCTTTTCTGAGGAAGGGAATCAGATAAAACAGATGCTAAGTTTCCAGCTTTAAGACTAGAAGTGTCCATTTCTATATTCACCAGAAAACTATCTGTGGGACTAAAGTTGAAATATTTAGGTATAAAGTTGAATAAAGGATTTATAAATATATATAGTTTCTATTCAGAAAGCAGAAAAGCTATGATGAGAGAAATCAAAGATTGTAATAAATGGAGAGATATTGTGTGTTCATGGGATGAAAGATCCAATTCTGTTGAGATGTCAGTTCTTTCCAACTTGACCTGGTAAAATCAACTCAAACAAGCTATTTTGTAGACATCAAAAAACTGAGTGTAGAGTTTATATGAAAAAGCAAAATATGTGTTTAAAAAGCCAAAACGATACTAAAGAAGAACAAAGTTTTAGGCCTTACAGTACCCATTTTGAAGGCTTACACTAATGCTACAGCATTCAAGTCAGCATGGTATTGGAGAAAGAACAGACACATAGATCAATAGGCAGATTAAAGAGTCCAAGATATATACATACTAATCTTTAACAAATGAGTAAAGGCAAATCAATTGAGAAAGAACGCTCTTTCAACAAATGTTACTGGATCAATTTAAATCCATATGCTTGACAATGAGTCTAATAAGATATCCTAACACCTTTCACAAAAATTAACTAAAAAAAAAAATCAGCTAAGCACAAGTGGCGCATGCCTGTAATCTCAGTACTTTGGAGAGTGATGTAAGAGGATTGCTTGAGGCTAGGAGTTTGAGATCAGCCTGGGCAACATAGTGAGACTCTGTATCTACAAAAAATAAAAAAAATAAACAATGGGGCATGATAATCTATGTCTGTGGTCCTAGCCACTCAGGATGCTGAGAATGGAGGATGATTTGAGTACAGCAGTTTGACTCTCTAGCGAGCTATGATCGTACCACTGCACTCAGGCCTGGGAAATAGAGTGAGACCCTGTCACAAAAAAGATAAAAAGGAAGAAAAGAAAAAGAAGTCATAGACTTAAAAAATTGCAAAACATCTATAAGAATGTATAAGACAAAAATCTAGATGACTTCAGGTTTGGCAATGAGTTTTTAGCTACAACACCAAAAATGTGTTCATAAAAGAAAGTAAAATGTTAAATATGGCTTTAATAAAATTAAAAACTATAACTCTTGAAAACACACTGGTAAAAAATTAAAAGACACACCACAGTCAGGGAGAAAATATTTACAAAACATGTACCTGTTAAAGGACTTGTATACAAAATATAAAAAGAATTCTTAAAATGAAGTAAGAAGAAAATAGCAAATAACTAAAAATGGAAATATATCTAAACCAACCCCTTACCAAAGTAGATACACAAATAGCAAATTACTATAGGAAAGATGCTATCATTTATCATCATATAATTGAAAGTTTAAACAACAATGCAAAATACAATACACATATTAGAATATTTAAAATAAAAAACAAACAAATATAAAACAGGAAAAGGACAATACCAGAAACTGAAGATGCCAAGAAATAGGAACTCTTCATTCATAGCTTGTGGAGATGCAAAATAGTACCACCAGTTTGAAAGACCATTCTTACAAATTAAATATAGTCTTAGCATACAATCCATCAATTTCTTTTCTTTTATTTATCCAACTAATATGAAAACGTATATCCAAACAAAAAATTGCACATAAATATATTTAATAGTTTTATTCATAATTGCCCCAAACTTGAAGTAACCAAAATGTTCAATACGTGAATGGATACTCACACTATAGTACACAAAACAAACAATGCAATATTAAGCCTAAGAGACATGGATGAGCCTTAAATGCACATTACTAGGTTAATAAAGCCATCCCAAAAGGGTTACATACTGTATGATTCCAATTACATCATATTCTGAAAAAGGCAAAATGTTGAGTGGTTGCCAAGACTTTGGAGAAGGGTAGGTATAATTCAGTAGGTAAAGCATAGGGAGTTTTTATGGCAATGAAACTACTTATAGGATTCTGTAATTGTCTGAAAATAATGCTGTGTTTTAAAAAATCCACTGAACTTTACAGAACAAAGAGTGAAAGAATGTATTAAAAATATCACTTATAAAGGTCAAGATATTTCAGTATGGTATGCAGAAAATAACAATCTTGGTTGTAAATGTAGGAAACAAGTCAATGAAGGATACATATTGAAGTCATAAATATTTAAAGGTTTCACTTATCTCCCAATTTGATGTTAAGATATAATGCAATGTCAATCAAGTTACTAAGATAATTTTTTAAGTGGAACTTGAAAACTTCTACCTAAAATATATATAGAAATTTAAATTGTTGAGACTATTAGAGACACTCTTGAAAAAGATCAAGCTAGCAGGTATGGCTCAGATTTCAAAATGACCTAAAGTTGCAGCAAATAGAATGTATTTCCTGCTTAATTAAAATGAAAATACAGTTTATCAACTACGTTAGATGCAACTAAACAATACTTAGAAGAAAACTTGTAGCACTACATGTCCATAATAATACAGAGAAAAAATTAAAGTCATAAATTCAGCTTCAACCCTTAGAGACAAGGAAGTGGGGAAGATACTGACCTAAAAATAAGAAAAAGAAAAAAAAAAGAAATAATGAATCAGAAAGTAATAAAAATTAAAAAGAAAATAATAAAACAAAAAGCTCACCTTTAAAGTAAGTTAATAAAATGGATAAACCTCTGTGAAGATTAATTAGAAAAAAGAAAGTGATAATTTAACAGAGAAGTTACAATATGACTAATTCTACAAATATTAAAAGAATAATAAAATATTATGAATGATTTATGTCACTAAATTCAATAACTTAGATAAAAGGAACAAATTTCTTATAAGACACAAACTGGAAAACTCCTTCCATAAGAAATACATAACCTGGCCGGGTGCGGTGGCTCACGCCTGTAATCCCAGCACTTTGGGAGGCAGGCCAAGGCAGGTAGATCACGAGGTCAGGGTTTCGAGACCAGCCTGACCAATATGGTGAAACCCAGTCTCTACTAAAAATACAAAATTAGCTGGGCATGGTGATGGGTGCCTGTAATCCCAGCTACTCAGGAGGCTGAGGAAGGAGAATTGCTTGAACCCGAGAGGCAAAGGTTGCAGTGAGCTGAGATAGTGCCACTGCACTCCAGCCTGGGCAACAGAGCAAGACTCTGTCTCAAAAAAAAAAAAAAAAAAGAAAGAAAGAAATACATAACCTGAATAGCCCTATACATGCTTTTTTAAAAAATGATTTTGTACTTACAAAAATTCCCACAAGTAAAACTGCAGCCACAGGTAGATTCACTCGCATAATCTACCAAATATTAAAGAAAACAAATATTTTATTTTCTACATTAACTTTTTCCAAAAAGGGTCAGAATAGTGAAGGCATGGTTTGATCACCATTTCATAGTATAGTTCTCTCAAAAGAGATTAATAGCCTTTATTAGAAAAAACTACTAATTTGCTACTAGTTTGGAGACAATTTTGACACATAGGTCTTATGTGACCAACCAATAACTCAATGATTATCATCCAGCTGAGAGCAGTACTCACGAGATTAGAAAAGAATTAGGACTATTGCACTATACTCACATTTGTATTTCTATAACGGAAGACATGCCAAGTATTTGACAAACTATAGAAGAAAACTGGTATGGTTTGGCTGTGTCCCCACCCAAATCGCATCTTAAATTGTAGTTCCCATAATCCCCATGTGTTGTGGGAGGGGACCCAGTGGGAGGTAATTGAATCATGGGGCTGTTACTTCTGTGCTGTTCTTGTGATAGTGAATGAGATCTCACGAGATCTGATGGTTTTATAAGGGGCTTTTCTCCCTTTTGCTTGGCACTTCTCCTTGCTGCCCTCTTCTGTCATGATTCCTCAAGTTTCCTGAGGTTTCCCCAGCCATGTTGAACTGTGAGTCAATTGAACCTCTTTCCTTTATAAATTAAACAGTCTCGGATATGTGTTTATTAACTGTGAGAATGAACTAATACAAAAACTCAACTCTAGTCAAGAGGTTGAAAATGGTAATAGTGCCAGAGGTGTAAAACATCTGACTTTATAAATAAATAAACTTGATTTTAAAAAAATTTCCACTGGGAGAAGGCAGAGCCTGGAAATATGGATTAATTGAATGAAGCCTTTAGTTATTTGTTCCCTGAATGTGGGCATCAGAGCAATAAGGATAGACCCTCATTCTGAATTCGGGAAATGCATGGAGAGACATACAGTAGGTATTTATTCTTCTTTACAAGCCGTGAAGGAACGCTGATGCTGCTCCTTTTTAAAGAATTATAAAATTCTTTAAAAAGTGACCTCATCCAGCCACTTCTGAAAAACTAGACGCTAGTCCTGACATGGCTAGCCTTGCATGAAATAGACTCCTTATGTAAAAGAAATCAAGATTTGGTGCAAAAAACTCATACAATATCTAATCAAGAGGAGAGAATTAAGGATCAATGACTCAATTTAGGCCTGAAGGTAATGGAACTGAAAACAATTAGAGAAGAGAGTTACCCAATAAATCAAAAGATGCCCAAGAAGAGTCTCCAGTTGAATAATTAAATACATTTTATTGTCCTTACCTAATGAAGGAACTTTCCAGCAGTGTCCAATATTTAATCTCTGGCAAAGGTATGATGGGAAAAAAAGTACCTAACCAGAACTAGCTTAAAATGAGTGTATCTACCACATAAATTTAAGGAATTTCATTCTTCTTAGAACCTAGATTTATTTGGGCAGGAGATTTTTCCAGGTATAAGTAAACAGAACAAAAGTCAAACAAGAAATTGAATTCTTAAGTGAATGTGGGGTGGAATACAGAAGAGAAGAGAAAGAACCCAAGAGCATGGCAGACATTACACAGTATGTTATGTGGCTCCACAAATTTGTAGTAGTTTATTAAAGTTAATGATGTTTGCCTTTATAAGGTTTTATTAGTTTTTTAAATTTTTAAATGCAGAAAATTGGTAAAAGAGATGGAGGGAAGAAAGTTTGCTTAGATTTGCAAAGTATAAAGAGGAACTCATCTGGGATCAGATGTTACGCAAAACACCCAGAAGATAACATTTCCCTCACAAGTTATCTTTGGTATTGAGGCATAACAAATAAACCTCATGAACAACGGAAAATTCAAATAATAATTGTTGAAAATTTAGCACATCCTTATTAGTTTTTCATTTATTTTTCTAAATTCAATTAATAATTCAATTATTAATAGTAAAACATAAATTTTCATTTATTTTTCTAAATTTAATGAATAATACATATGTGTGTTATTCAAACTTTTGAAAGAAAATATTAAAACATATCATTAATTCAAATTGCCATTGATTATTCATAAAAACAGCTTACTTTTATTTCAAAAAATTACTTTTACTAGCATAGTTTAATACATACTGCAATAAAGTGTTTTAAGGAAAACATATTGCCCACATTTGTGTAAATGCATAATTATATCACAGTTGAAACAGTCAATGTAAAGAAGATACATATTGATCTGTTAGGCTGAAAATTAACACAACAGTATGTTAACATACAATTGTTTATACTATTGTATAGTATTCTGATAATGATACAGTATTGATACATGGTACATGATATAACAGCATTCTGATATTTAAGTTTTTTAATGATTAAATGATTTAAAAAACTAAAATATCAGAATTTTATTAGGGGTAACAAGAAAATGAATAAGAAATTTAGAGAAGAGGAAGAGAAACAAAGAATATAAACATTACGAGTCACATTGCTTGTCATATGTTGGAGTTTTGTATCATTTAAAATGCATTTAAATAAAGAATGGTCTTCCAGTCGTCTATTTATTCAAATAGTTGTGGGACTTGAAAGTTATCCTTTCACAAGACTCAGAATGAGCTACAATTGCAGCATCTCAGAAAATGAAATTGCTTTAGGATTCAACTGAAGACTGACATCAAATATAATTGGGTCCTTTAATCTCTAACTTAAGAAAGTCGTCAAATATTTGCTGTGCCTTGACAGAAGTTGACTTATTTTTATGTATTTTTTCACTGAAGAGTGACTTCACATAAAATAGTACTTCTTAAATTTGTAAATACCTAGAAAAGAACATGTAACTTATAATTAAATGAACTGTTCATAACTATCATCAATTTTTGCTATGTTAGGAATGATTTTGTAAATAAATAGTGATAATTATGTTAGTTTTATACTGATTTTAACCCAGAAAAATTAGCCTTTTCCTCAATGATAAGAGAGATATCGCTTTTCTTGGAGCTCCTGAAAGTTAGCATAAGAGAAAATGCAGACAGCTAGATATGAGAAAGAAAAATCAGAAATAACCAAGGAAACTTAGTACAGCATGGCTTAGTATTGAAAGATTTTTGCTTCCTGTTCTTTGAACCATTCCAATTATCTTTAAGTCTTTACTGAAGTATGTCAATTGTGTAAGCCTTAGCTTAGGGATGATTTGTGGACTTAAGGGAAAGCAGCAAGGGTCATATTCTTGTCTGAACTAAATGGGGAAAACACAGGAACTTCAGGATACAAAATAAGGGGCACACATCAAACAGAGAAAGTGGAAATTCAAAGCATGAGATGACCCAGCCCACAGGAAACCTCAGACACATGAGAAATGATCCACGGCTTCCTACAGTACCTGGGACAGGTGATGACTCCAGTTTGACAATCAAAGGTAATCAGAACATTATGCTAAGTGAAATAAAAAGACACAAGAGAATGAACATGGTATGATTTTATTTATAAGCACCTAAAATAGACAATATAATAGAGACAAAAAGCAAAACAGAGGCTACCAATGCCTGTGGGGAGGGAGAGAGTTAGAAAAAGAGGGGCTATTGATTGATAAGTTTCTGTTTGGAATGATGGGAAAGTTCTGGAAATACACAGCATGATGGTTACACAAAGTTGCAAATATTTTTAATGCCACTGCATTTTAAATTTAAAAATAAATAGAATAGTATATATTATGTTATTTATATTTTACTACAATTAAAAAGAAGGCTCCACATCAAACAACCAATATACAGGAAATACAAGGCACAGAGAAATATACTAAATGACACTTCAAGAATATCATAATTAAAATACAGTCTTTGGGGAACTAGAGAAAGAATGACTTATTTTCTTCAGCAAAAGATGACAGAGAAAACAAAAAGACAGATGGGTGAAAGGCTATAGAAATCTATAGATAAGTGAGAGCCAATCACAATTTAAGAATCTTATTTGAATCCCAATTCAAACAAATTGGAAAATAAATTATAAGCCAATTAAGGAAATGTCAACACTGATATATGATGATATTAAGGTATTATTGTTAATATTTTAGGTGTGATTATGGTATTATAGTGATTTTTTAATAAAAGTCGTGATCTTTTACAGAGACTCACTGAAATATTTATAATGAATTAATGTGATAACTGAGATTTGTTTCAAAATAGTCTGGGGATAGGTAGGTGGAGTACAGGTGATACATACTGGATATCCCCTGATAATTGTTGCGACTGGGTGATAGGTATACTGAGTTATTATATATGCCATCTAGTATTACATGCATTTGAAATTTTATAAATATTTAAACAGCAAAACATTTAAAAATGAAAATAAAATTAATTAGAAGAGATTGGTGGCATTGCTGATCTTCAGTAAGCAAAAATTTGCGTTAGAAAAGTAGCTTTTAATGTAACCAGTGAGAGGTGTGTTGAAGTACAATAAATCACAGAAATTACAAATCAATATTAGATCACAGACAAAAATATAAAGTCACCCTAAATGAAATTGATTTATCATACTTCTAATTTATAATGTAATATTTTTCTGAGATATTTCTGTTATTTCAAGTTTTTTTGTGATTATAAGTAAAGCCACCAAAACCATTTACTTATAGATTTTTTGTGAAGATAAGCATTCGGTTCTCCTGGGTAAACACTTTGGAATGTAATTGTAGGAGCATCATCTGGTAAGTGTGTACCCTTTTAAGAACTAGTCAAAATGTTCTCCAAAAGGGCTTTACCATTTTACATTTCACGCAGCAAGGTATGAGAGTTCAGTCACTCTCTTTTCTTGCCAACACTTGATATCATTATTTGTTTATTTTTATTAATTTATTGTTGTTCTAATAAAAAGAGAGTAGTATCTCATTGTAAATTGAATTTATATTTTCCAAATGACAAATAATGTTGAGCATATTTCTATGTGTTTATTTGCATCCATATACATTCTTTTGTGAAGCATTGGTTAAAAGTTTTGCTCATTTTTTATGGGATGTTTATATAATCTTTATTGAGTTTTAAATGTTTAAATTTTTGAACTATATCTAAAAATATATTTCATCAGATAATCGGACATGGGTTTCTCAAATATTTTCTCCCAGTCTGTGGTTTATTTTTCTGTTCACTGAATGGGCAAAAGCTGGAAGCATCCCCCTTGAAAACTGGCGCAAATCAAGGATGTCCTCTTTCACCACTCCTACTCAACATAATATTGGTTGTCCTGGACAGAAAATCAATCAAGAGAAAGAAATAAAAGTTATCTAAATAGGAAAAAAGGAAGCAGAACTATCCCCGTTTGCAGATGACATGATTCAATATCTAGAAAACCCCATAATGTTGGCCCGAAAGCTCCTTCAGCTGATAAACATTTTCAGCAAGGTTTCAGTATATAAAATCAACATACAAAAATCACTATTATTTTATACACCAACAACAGCCAAGGGGAGAGCCAAATCAGGAAAGCAATCCCATTCGCAGTTACCACCAAATGAATAAAATACCTAGGAATACAGCTAACCAGGGAGGTGAAAGATCTCTACAATGAGAATTAAAAAACATTGCTCTAAGAAATCAGAGACGATACAAACAAATAGGTTGCTTTAAAAGAGTAGAATATTGTCATATTGATGAAACTTATATAATGGCTTTTTCTTTAATGAACAGTGATTTTTGTGTCAATTCTAAAAAATTTGTATCTAATCCAAGTTCACAGTCATTTCTCTTATGTTTTCTTCTAAAACTTTATAGCTGATTTAGGTCTGTTGTTCATTTTGAGTAATATAATTTTTAGGTATTGGGTTAGATTTTCTTTATATCTATAATTTAAATTGTTCTAGAAAAATTTGTTGAAACTACTGTACTTTCCCTATTAAACTTTCTGTTTACCTTTGTACCAGTTTAATTATTCATTTATTTATAATAGAAAAGGATTCTATTCTGTTCTATTGATCTGTGATTCTATCATTTGGACGAATCTACATAATCTTATTACAGCTCTAAGTTGAGGCTTTAATCCATGCAATGTGAACTCTCCAGTTACACTCTTTTTCAACTTATTTTATTGTTTAAATTATTTGTTCTCCTTTATACATTTTTGGATCTGCCTGCCTGTTTCTAAAAAATATTCTGCCAAGGATTTCATTGAAATGTTATGGAATCTATAGGGCGATTTGGAGAGATTTGACATCTCAGCAAGATTGGGTCTTATATCTTTGTATCTATTGCAAAAAATACAGTTTTCAAATCTTTCAATTTCCAATTTTTCATATATAGTATACAATAGGGGGTTGGACAATTTTTCCTGGAAAGTAACATATAATAAATATTTTGGACGTTGCAGGCCATGTTGTCTCTGTTGCAATTAGTCAATTGTGCCATTGTAGCAAGAAAGCACCCATAAACAATATATGAATATATGAGAATAGATGCGTTCCTCTGAAACTTCATTTATGAAGAAAAAAAATTGGTTTTCATGCAATTTTCAGGTGTCAAAATATAATTCTTCTTTTGGTTTTGTTTTTAACTATTTTTTGAAATGAAAACCACTCAGCTTTCAGGCCATACAAAAAGAGGTAATAGGCCAACGTACCTTTTGTATATTCATCATGTGTCTGACAACCTTGTGAAATTTACTTAGTTCTGGCAGTTGTTTTTGTAGATTCTTTTAGAGTCTACATAAAAAATCACGCAATTTTCAAATTGAATTTTGTCCTTTCTTCCTAGTGTGTCCAATGAGTATGCCTTTGATTTAACATTCTTCATTTTATTGGCTAGGATCTACAATATAATATTAATTCAGTGTGATATTGAATCGACATCACTAATGTTTTTCATACTATGGGAAAACCATTAAGTCTAAAATCATTAAGTAAAATGCTAACTACATTTTTAAAAATATCTCATGCTTTTGTTTTTATTCACTTATAAATATAATATAATTTCCATTATGACTTCTTTGACCTCTTATGTTATTTGTGATGTGTGGGTTTTTTCATTAAATTTAGATATGTGGATATTTCCCAAGTAGCATTTTGTTTTTTATTTTTAGTTTACTTTTCATTATAGGCAGAGAATATTTTTATATAATTTCAGTGATTTTATGTGAAATTAGGCTTATCATAAATATATAACAATAATAATGATCTATCATGATGGGTGTTCCAGTGTGTATTAAAAAAAAATGTGTGTTCTGCTTTTTGTTGGGCAGAACACGCTATAAGTGTAACTTAGTTCTCTTTGTAGAGTTTAGATCTTATATATCCTCAATGAGATTCTGTTTACTTATTTGATTTATTACTGACAGAGGTATATTGAAGGCTTCAACCATAATAGTGTTAGTCTGTCAAATTTCATGCATTTTGAAGCTCTGTGAGATTCAGAGCTAATAATAGAAATATTGTGTTTTCTTCTTGACTTGATCCTTTTATTATTATGTAATGACTTTTATTCTTATTAATATATTATAATCTAAAAACTACTTTAGATAATAATATAGTCACCCCAGTTTTCTATATGTTTGTTAATTATTTGTTTGGTATATATTTCTGTCTGCTTGATATTAATTTATCTGCATCTTTATATGTAAGTGAATTTAATATTCACAGAAGAAAACTAGTTAAGTGTTGCTTTGTTATCTAATCTGACAAACTTTTCAAAGTGGGGGTGTCTATATCACTTATAGTTAATTTAATTATTGGTACTGAAATGAGAAAAGTTTCCTTGTACCCCTTGCGGAGCCTGCAACACAGAGAGTGGTTCTTCAGTGCCTCCCTGCTCAAATCTCTAGGGGAGCATACAGATGGACAGGTTGTGGGGCTCCTACCCCATGGCAGTGTCTAAGGCTGAATGTTTACAGCTTCTGAAGCCACAGTGGGCGTGTGCTACCCTGTGCTCTTTTAGTTTTGCTGTCCATAGGCGGCTTGTGTTAACCAGCTCAATTAGACCCTCTGCTTTGTCTCAAAGACAGAGGGCTTTCTGGATCCCGGGTTCTTGCTTTGGTGTACCAGAAGAATTTGATCACACGTGGGCTTGGAGAATGAGTTGCAAGGTTTTATTGAGTGTGGGTAGCTCTCAGCAGATGGGGGAAGCCAGAAAGTGATGGAGTGGGCAGGTTTTTCCCTGGAGTCAGGCGCTGAGCAGGCCGGGTTCTCCTCTTGACTGCCCCAGCCAAATTCCACGTGGTTCTGCCAGGCAGTGGCCTGCATGCTGGTGCTTGTCAGTGCATTCCTCCAGATGTCAAGCCACTTGTGTCCAGAGTCTTCCACTAATGTTCTTCTCTCAGATATCCAACTGCCTATGTGTCTGCCTGCTAGGGTCTCAGGGATTTTACAGGCACAGGATGGGGGCGTGGCAGGCTAGGGTGGTCGTGGGAAATGCAACATTTGGGCAGAAAAACAAAAATGCCTCTTCTCACCTAGGTCCATGGATGTGTCCGGAACTGGTTCCTTTCGGTGGGTTCTTGGTCTTGCTGACTTCAAGAATGAAGCCGTGGACCTTCACAGTGAGTGTTACAGCTCTTAAAGATGGTGTGTCCGTAGTTTGTTCCCTCAGATGTGTCCAGAGTTTCTTCCTCCTGCTGGGTTCATGGTCTTGCTGACTTCAGGAGTGAAGCTGCAGACCCTCGCAGTGAGTGTTACAGCTCTTAAAAGTAGTGTGGACCCAAAGAGTGAGCAGCGGCAAGATTTATTGTGAAGAGCGAAAAAACAAAGCTTCCACATCGTAGAACGGGAGCTGAGCAGGTTGCTGCTGCTGGCTCAGGTGGACTGCTTTTATTCCCTTATTTGACCCCGCCCACATACTGCTGATTGGTCCATTTTATAGAGTGCTGATTGGTCCATTTTATAGAGTGCTGATTGGTCCGTTTTTACAGAGTGCTGATTGGTGTGTTTACAAACCTTTAGCTGGACACAAAAGTTCTCCAAGTCCCCACTTGACCCAGGAAGTCCAGCTGGCTTCACCTCTTATGGGCACAGGCCTGGTGGTGGAGCCCTAGCCAGGGACCATGCCTTTTTCCCCTTCCTTATCATTTAAAGGGACCACGCCCTTTGCTTCTCAGCACTTCCCTTCCATATCAGTATCATTGAATTTAAATCTATTATTTTGCTAATTGGTGAACCTATTTTCCTACTTGCTATTTTCCTACTTGGTGAACCTCCCCTTTTTTTGTTCCTCTTTTTATGCTAGTTTCTAAATTTTTTTAAAAATAACACTACTCATATTCCTTTTTATTTATTTATTTATTTTTGGAGACGGAGTCTCACTTTGTCACCCGGGCTGGGGTGCAGTGGCGTGATCTTGGCTCACTGAAAGCTTTGCCTCCCAGATTCAAGCAATTCTCCTGCCTCAGTCTCCCTAGTAGCTGGGAATACAGGTGCCCACCACAACGCTCAATTAATTTTTTTGTATTTTTAGTAGATATGGGGCTTCGCCATCTTGGCCAGGCTGGTTTCGAACTCCCGACCTCGTGATTCACCTGCCGTGGCCTCCCAAACTGCTGGAATTACAGGCATGAGACTCTAAGCCTGGCAATTTTTTAATAATTGCCTTAGGGTGTAAATTGTACCACTTTAATTCATTACAATCAAATTTTAAATAATATTATACTGCTTTGCATACTTTGTAAAAATATTTCTTCAATATACTTCTAAATTCTGTTTTAATATCTTTGTTATAGTCAGCATACATTTTACTTTTACATATTCTCTTAAACGACCATGGATTGCTGTATTTTTTTAAACTGGATGGTTATTATTTACAGAGCAATTAAAAATTTAAATTATACATATTTAATTTTTACCTCATTTATCGTTTCTGGAACTCTCCATATTTTTGTGTGTAGATCCAAGTGTCTGTCTGCTGTTGTGTATCAAACTTTCTGTAACTTTTTTATAGATAACTTGTGCTATAATAAATTATCTCAGATTTGTTTTGTGTTAAGAAGCCTTTATCTTGACTTCCATTTTGAAAAACATTTTGGGCAAGGACTTCATGTCTAAAACACCAAAAGCAATGGCAACAAAAGCCAAAATTGACAAATGGGATCTAATTAAACTAAAGAGCTTCTGCATGGCAAAGGAAACTACCATCAGAGTGAACAGGCAACCTACAGAATGGGAGAAAATTTTTGCAATCTACTCATCTGACAAAGGGCTAATATCCAGAATCTACAATGAACTCAAACACATTTACAAGAAAAAAGCAAACAACCCCATCAACAAGTGGGCGAAGGATATGAACAGACACTTCTCAAAAGAAGACATTTATGCAGCCAAAAGACACATGAAAAAATGCTCATCATCACTGGCCATCAGAGAAATGCAAATCAAAACCACAATAAGATACCATCTCACACAAGGTAGAATGGCAAACATTAAAAAGTCAGGAAACAACAGGTGCTGGAGAGGATGTGGAGAAATAGCAACACTTTTACACTGTTGGTGGGACTGTAAACTAGTTCAACCATTGTGGAAGTCAGTGTGGTGATTCCTCAGGGATCTAGAACTAGAAATACCATTTAACCCAGCCATCCCATTACTGGGTATATACCCAAAGGATTATAAATCATGGTGCTATAAAGACACATGCACAAGTATGTTTATTGTGGCACTATTCACAATAGCAAGGACTTGGAACCAACCCAAATGTCCAACAATGATAGACTGGATTAAGAAAATGTGGCACATAATACACCATGGAATACTATGCAGCCATAAAAAAGGATGAGTTAATGTCCTTTGTAGGGACATGGATGAAGCTGGAAACCATCATTCTCAGCAAACTATTGCAAGGACAAAAAGCCAAACACCGCATGTTCTCACTCATAGGTGGGAATTGAACAATGAGAACACATGGACACAGGAAGGGGAACATCACACACCGGGACCTGTTGTGGGGTGGGGGAAGCGGGGAGGGATAGCATTAGGAGATATGCCTAATGTAAATGAGGAGTTAATGGGTGCAGCACACCAACATGGCACATGTATACATATGTAACAAACCTGCACATTGTGCACATGTACCCTAAAACTTAAAGTATAATTAAAAAAAAAAAAAGAAAAGAAGTATTTATCTTGACTTCGATTTTGAAAAACATTTTTTCGGGGGTATACAATTCTAACATTACTTATTATGTTCTTTTAGCATTTTAGAGATGACACTCACTTGTCTTCTGGCTTTACTAATTTTCTATGAGCAGTCTACTAAAATTTTTTCTTATGTTCCTCTTTTAGTAATGCATATTTTTTCTCTGGCTGCTTTTCAGATTTTTTTTTCAACTGTAATTTTAAGCAGTTTGAATAAGATATGTCTAGGTTTTGTGCTTTAAAAAATGTTTGGAGTTATTAGTTTTTTAATTGTCTATTTTAAAAATGTTAGTTGTGCATAAGAGCACCACATGTAAAGACATCTATAGCTTGTAACATATGTGGTACTACCAACATAAAAATAGCCCCAAAAAGATGAAAGAAAGAAACTGTTACCAGAACCCAGAATAATGAGTGTTGTGTAGAGCAAGCCAGAATGGGTTAACCAGAGACTATAGAGCACAGAAAATGTTAATATAGTTCATATATGTCAGTGTCTGGGAAAGAGAGCAAGGTAAGAAATATTTGGAGGCTGTGTCTGGATGTGTAAAGAAATGTGGTGCTGCACAGTCAAATTAAATGAACAGTTTGACTTCCAAATCAATAAGACGTGACTGTGACCTAACTGAACACACTGAAGATCCTAGGGTGTGTATTCCTAAGTCAGAAGACATAGAAAAAAGTTGAAATACATAAGTAAGTCTCATATGTATTTGGAAGGTTCAGGAGGTCATCATTAGATATTGTGTAGTTGTTTTATTTAAAATGTTAGAAACCAAAAAATAATACCTAGCTACATCTACTTGGGAAAGTTCTAGGCAAAAAAATAAATAAATTAAAAAAATTGAACTCTGAAGCCCAAATTGTTTATTTTCAAGATTGATAAATAATTAAAAATAATTTTCTAAAGAGAATCTTGGTGCTATTTCATATTCCATAGTGGCACGTTGGAACTAGACAGTTGAATGTCCAATACTTGCATTTATTATGATTCTCTCCAATATCCAGTCTTCTTGAAATCTGTTTTTTAAAAATACAAAATGCACCAGCTTTATAATAATAATGCTTTACTATGCTATATATATAATATGCTACAGTAATGTAATAATGATGTCTATAACAACAGCAAAAGTATCAAGAGCTAGTATTTTTATTGCATTTTATGTGCCTTGCATGTGTTTCCTTATTTCATTATCACTATACTTCATTGAGATAAATATTATTAACCTATGTTTCACCTAGTCCTATTTGTTTGTTATCGAAGAAAGGAAGACTATCGCATGTGTAAACAGTGTAAAAGACTGCTTACCATTTCTCATTAGTGGAAGGAAACTTTGATTTAAATGCATGCGTATACATTGTAAGCACATAAGTGAACAGGTTTTTTCCAAGATATATACATTTTCAGTATTATTTCAGATTCTATTTCATTTCTCTACCAAAATTACTTGTGCTTTCCTCACATATATTGTTTTTGGAATACGTTTTTGATATATTTCTGCATTTTATAATCCTCTTAAGATCATTTAATTCCTTTCTTAAATAAACCCTTCCCACAGGTTATATGACTAAGGCCATTGACAAACAAATGAATAATCATTAAACCTTCTGCTGAAAAAAATAACTCAAAGACCTTGGTCCCCATGATCTGAGAAGAATCTCCTTCTGAGAGAAAAAGACAAGAATCTCCTCTGTGTACACAGAAATCAGATTTCTAAGTCCTCAGTGTTAAGGATCACATGGTACTAAACAGAAAATTCACCATGTTAAATGCTGCCTGTTAATGAACAAATATGTGGCCTTCCACCAGGATTTCCCTATGCAGATGTTTTTCCCTGTGAAATTAAAATAAATGCTGCTGTAGCTCAAGTTTCCCGAGGAGCTGGAAACCAGGTAGTAAGATTGCATGTGGCTTTTGGGGAAAGTGAGTTAGGATTGGGTAAAGAAAGAAGTTAGGCTTCAATGAAGTCGCCACAAAGACCTGAGCCAATCCTACTGAGAATTCCAAGGCCAATTACCTCTTGGAGATGTTACAAATCGAGGCAGAGGGACCATGCCTTTTATTTCAACCATGACCAGCCATTGGACATAGGCTACCTCTGAGGTAAGGAGCATGCTTTTTTCTTCACATTTCCCTTAGCTAAAACCAATTCCTGGAAAGTGACACTATCGTGAGCTGTCAGCAGGCAATACTCCCAGCAGCTGGGGCAATGAAGAGCTCAGTCCTGAAGAAAAATCTTCATGGTCCCCTGCATCCAACCCTGCATGAGTTTTTGATAAGATAGTAGAAGGTATTCCTAAAATAACTTTTCCTTTATCAGTATATATTGGTAATTTTCATGAGATATTGGATTGTGGCCAAAGATTAGAGTTTCCTATTAAAATAAGATTTTTTTGGCCAGGCACGGTGGCTCACGTCTGTAATTCTAGCACTTTAGGAGTCCAAGGCGAGCAGATCACCTGAGGTCAGGAGTTCGAGACCAGCCTGGCCAACATGGTGAAACCTCGTCTCTACTAAAAATACGAAAATCACCCAGGTGTGGTGGTGCATGACTGTAATCCCAGCTAATTGAGAGGCTGAGGCAGGAGAATCACTTGAACCCAGGAGGCGGAGGTTGCAGTGAGCCGATATCGTGCCACTGCACTCCAGCCTGGGTGACAGAGCAAGAGTCCATCTCAAAAAAAAAAAATAGACTTTTTGATGTGGATTTTTTAAGCTAGATATTAATTTGCACAGGAAATAGCAGGAAGTCTATTGTTTGCTATTTGTTTTTTCAAAAATAAGATATCACTTATGTAACATTTCAAGTATGTATGCAAAGGCAGCATTACTTTCAGCAGGAGAGGAGATAAGCACGTTGGAGTGTGTGCTGTGCTGAGAACATTGCCAGAGCACTCATCTTGTGAGCACAGCTGGTAGAACTCTGTTAAAATGTTGTATTTGTCCTCTATTTGAAAACACCAGTGGCACAAAACCGGCCATACACCTTAATTTGCCCTGTTTTTAATGCTACCATCAATAACTGCATGTCCTAATAAATGCTGACTGCATTATTTCAGGAAATATACTTAGCAGAATACATGCCTCAGTTCTCAGTTTTTCAAAAATTACTCAAACATTTGAAGTTTTAATATGAAATCATTTTCATTTGTTAAGGGATTTCGTTGCTTACATAACACCGAATCCCCCACTTTCATACTTAACCTAGTGGCTGCTGCTTTTACTTCCTGTATTTCCCAATTAAAATGAAAACTATTCTCTTTGTTTTTCTGGTTATCTATTAGTATGTTAAAAAAAATGCAATGCAAAACATACTTAAAATCACAACCATTTTAAAAAATATTCTACAGTTTTGTGGAACAGTAACTGTGACAGTTAATTTTATGTATCAACTTGACTGAGCTGCAGCATGATGAGATATTTGGTTAAGCATTTTTCTGGGTATGAGGGTATTTCTGAATGAGATTAACATTTGAATGGTAGACTGAGTCAAGTCATTGCCTTCCCTAATGTGAACGTGCCTCAATCATGGAAGGTCCATGGAAGGACTGAATAAAATAAAAGGCTGCCTAAGAAAGAATTATTTCCTTCTGCCTGATGGTCTTCACAGTAGGACATTAGTCTTCTCCTGCCTTTGAACGTAGACTAAGATCACAACTTACACCATTGGCTCTCCTGGCTCTCAGGCCTTCAAACTTAGATGGAAATTATTCCGTAGGCTCGTTTTGGTCTACAGCTTGCTAACTGTAGATCTTGGATTTCTCAGCCTCCATAATTGTATCAGCAAATTTATTTTATCTTTTTCTTTTTCTTTTTCTTTTTTTTTTGAGACAGAGTCTCACTCTGTTGCCCAGGCTGGAGTGCAGGGGCGTGATCTCTATTCACCACAACCTCGACCTCCTGGACTCAAGCAATTCTCCTGCCTCAGCCTCCTAGGTGGGTGTGACTACAAGCATGGCCACCCGGCTCAGCTAATTTTTGTATTTTTAGTAGAGACATTGTTTCACCATGTTGGCCAGGCTGGTCTCCGAACTCCTGACCTCAAGTGATCCTCCTGCCTCAGCCTCCCAAAGTGCTGGAATTACAGGCATGAGCCACTGTGCCCAGCCATATCAACCAATTTTTATGGTTAATCCCTTTTGCTGTCTCTCTCTCTCTCTGTCTCTGTGTGTGTGTGTGCGTGCGTGCCTGTGTGTAAACTGGTTTTGTTTCTCTGGAGAAACCAGATTAATACAATGATGTCTAACAAACAAACAAACAAAAAATCCGATTGTCAAATTGTACAATTCTGGCCGGGCGCGGTGGCTCACGCCTGTAATCCCAGCACTTTGGGAGGCCGAGGCGGGTGGATCACGAGGTCAGGAGACCGAGACCATCCTGGCTAACACGGTGAAACCCCGTCTCTACTAAAAATACAAAAAATTAGCCGGGCGTGGTAGCGGGCGCCTGTAGTCCCAGCTACTCGGGAGGCTGAGGCAGGAGAATGGCGTGAACCCGGGAGGCGGAGCTTGTAGTGAGCGGAGATCGCGCCACTGCACTCCAGCCTGGGCGACAGAGCGAGACTCCGTCTCAAAAAAAAAAAAAAAAAAAAAAAAAAAAAAAAAAAAAAAAAAAAAAAAAAAAAAAATTGTACAATTCTAGGTGTTAATTTAACTTGAGATTATTATGGTTATTAATAATTCAGGCAACGAAGACACTCAGACAAAGCAGAGACAAGTCTGGGACATCAAGAACTATTTCCCAGGTTGATATTCCCCAAACGGACATGTGCTCTTGTGTCAGAATAATAGATTTGGTTTCCAACTGCTTCACTGTGGATATCTACCAACAGAACAAGCATTTGAGTAATGACACATCTCCAGTTCATACTTGGTGAGATTATTTGTCTTACTTGACATTCTCTAGGGATCTGTCTCATAAACCCAAAGATCATTATTTGCTATAAATAACCCTTAGCCAGCATTATCCACATAAGAGTTTTCTAAATGTAGTATGGCTCCATCTTATCAAATACTTTCTTTTCATTTCAACTTTTGAGTTGTGCCCCCAGCACTGGGAAAATATGGATCACATACCAACTGCTTTAAAGCTTTCTTCTTCTTCTTTTCTTTTTGAGAGGGGTCTTGCTCTGTCACCCAGACTAGAGTGCAGTGGCACAATCTTGGCTCACTGCAACCTCCACCTCCCAGGTTCAAGCGATTCTCTTTCCTCAGCCTCCCTAGTAGCTGGGATTACAGTTGCCCGCCACCATACCCGGCTAATTTTTGTATTTTGGCTAGGCGGGTCTCGAACTCCTGACCTCAAGTCATCCACCTGCCTAGGCCTCCCAAAGTGCTGGGATTACAAGTGTGAGCCATTGCACCAGCCCTAAAGCTTTCTTCTTAATTCAGGGGATGTTACAACTAGAATGGGTAGTATGTCACTTCTTTTATATTCTATTGGTCAGGATAGTCACTGGCCAGCCCAGATTCAAGGTAAGGGAAGACGGACTATATAAATGAATGAAAGAAGTGTCAGTGAGGGGCTTTTTTCACTCACCACATGCATAATTAAAATGAGATGAAATTAAATGTTTAAATAACATCATATGGATGACTTTCGCTAAACTAAATCCTGCTAAGTGTTTACTTTACATGCTCATATTAGATTAAGATGTGATATTTCCTACAGAAAAATGTTTTTATGACATTATAACTTTTAGATTTACATCCAGAAAAGGGCAAACATTATTTTTATGCATTATTCCGTTTACTTATTCATTTAATGAAATAGTATTTCATAAACACATACTTTGTAACAGAAATTGTGCTGGGCAATAAAATCTATTCTAAAATGAACAAGACTTTGTACTTGGTGTCTGCTGGCCTGTAATAGGAAAACTAAAAACTGAAGACGTGCTTGCAATACTGTATGACAGATATTATAATAGGGAGAAACAGAATTTTAAGTACACAGGAGTGATACCAAACCTAGCTTGTTTGGAAAAGCCTTTTCAGTGGAGATTGGCTCAATTAAATTTTCTAATTTAAAAGGACTGAGAGGATTAGAATATAAGTGCAGGCAATAATATAATACATACTTGATTCAGCATTGGTTAAGACAAAAGTAGAGTGAAACCTGGTTGAACGTAAATATCTGTCTGAGATTGGAAAAGTAAATGGTGGCACACCATGAAGGCACAACTTGTCATATTAAAGGATTTGACATAGCTCTGAGTCAACAAGGACTCCTAGAAGCAGACACATGCAAAGAAGTGGCTTTATCAAAGGTATGCAAATATCCCTCAGGCTTCTGCTTGGAGAATGGATAAATCAGAGATGGGAACTGAGGTAAACTATGAGTTGGGGGGAGGGAATTTTGGAGACAATTTTTTGGGTAACTCTGATAAAAAAAACAATGGTTACCTGAATTAAGTAGATGTTTCTTCAGAGACAGAGACTTGAACATGTAAGACAGATATTAAGAAGGTAGGTTTGACATGTTCAGAGGGCTTCGTGTAGATTAGGTGTGATTAAGTTATTTTCACATTTTTGGCTTGGATTCTGTGTTGTTTTATGAAGGTTCATTCATTCTGATATTTGAGGCCAAATGTTTCATGATATTAAATTAGGTTTGTAATGATCAGTGTTGAGGTGTTGATATAATATCTAGTAAGAAATTATATGCAGTATTTAGAATATAAAGAACACATTTGGGTGGCAAATATGGAGGAGCTATCTGCAAAGAGATAGTGACTGAAGGTCAAGAAGTGGATGGGAATGCATGCCAAAGGAAGTCAGAGAAGAGGAGAAAGATATTCTAAGGCCCTGAACCCTCATATCTGGGGACAGGCTATACCCAAGAAGGACAGTAAGAAGAGTGTTGAAAGGCAGAATGAAAAAGAGAGATATATAGGATTGTGAAAATCAAGGAAAAAATTAATTTTATTTTTATTTTTGAACTGGGAGATACTTAGCATATTTAAATACTAATGGGAAAATTGGTAAGAGAAACGAGGACAATTTTATATTTGGATGAATTTGTATTAAAAGTTAAACCCTTGGAGAGCAGAAGAAATATCTTGTTTTAGATAACGCAAGTGTGTCAGTGGGAGAGGTAGCTATTATTTTAATACCAATCTTGGAAAAATACTATATGCTTCATAAAACACTCTTTGAAAAATCACCTATCGTGATTTTGCATATCTAGATTAAGAATATAGATAGCATAAGAATGTAATATAGAACATAAGCAGAGAGGAAGAGTTATTTCTTTTGTGATTTAAAAAGGCAATTTCAGATTCTGTATAATTTAAACAAAAGATATTCATACATCATATTCATACAAAAACTCATACTTTTCCTTTTTCTTGTTGTATTTATATTATTGAAATCTGACTACAAAAGAGTTTTGGAAAATTGCCTTTACTCAATAAAGAAGAGATTATAGATATATTAATTAATATCCATATTTCTATCTGTATTTATAGCTTGTTTAAATCAGCCACAATAGGGATATTAAATAATGTGATCAAACATTTTCCTATTGCTGAGATATACAAATTTTACTATTATAAATAAAATTAAATTTATTATTTATATGTGTATGTTATATATAATATATGTGTATATTTTGGCACATATGTATAGACATTGCTACACGGTAAATTTCTGATAGTAGTATTGCATAATTAAATTATATGTAAGAAAATCATGTACCAATTAATATAACTATCAACATAGCAGTAGGATATTCAGATGCATATAAACTCATTAGGTTTTTCATTTTAACAATATTTTGGAGGGTTTATATGCATCTGGATATACTACCGCTATGTTGGTAGCTGTATTAATTGGTACATGACTTGAGAGTTTATATGAATTTGGATATACTACAGTTATGTTGATAGCTATATTAATGGCATATTATATATATATAAAATAGATACATACATATGTATATTTTTATAAAGGAACTTGACCAATTGGTGATCACACAGATAACTGTAAAATTAATACACAACCTTTGGGAGACTGAGGCTGGTGGACCACAAGATCAGGAGCTCAAAACCGGCCTGGCCAACAAGGTGAAACCCTGTCTCTACAAAAATACAAAAATTAATCAAGCGTAGTGGCGCGTGCCTGTAGTCCCAGCTACTCAGGAGGCTGAGGCAGGAGAATTGTTTAAACCTGGCAGGTGGAGGTTGCAGTGAGCCGAGATCACGCCACTGCACCCTAGCCTGGGTGAAAGAGTGAGACTCCATCTCAAAAAAAAAAAAAAAAAAAAAAATTAATACACAATAACACAGATACAAAAAAAGAGAAATTTAAGGAGTAATCACTCTTCTGTATAAAACTATAAAATAAATCACAAATCTTTTAAGATATAATTTAGGGAGCTTCTCTCAGTACAGAAGTATACTCTGAACAGCAATTTTGTATAAAATTATTTCCTACTCACCTCATAGCCAACAGAGTTGAAAATTAAGTGAATTTCAAGTGAAGTCAGGTGAAGTCATTCCATATTCATGACTCGATGTCTACCAAACAGAAATAGGATTATTTAAATAAGGATTTTGAAAAGTGTAATGGAGAACTATATTAATGATATATGAAAAGTGATCCAATGGTCTGCAAATGACAGGAGTAAATACTATGTAGTCAAAATTTGGTTCGCATATGGATGTTTTTATCAGGAGTTATATTGGCTTAAATTATAACCTGTGCTTGAGAAAAGGTTCATCCAGAAATGTAAGAAAAAAATTAATTAACCCATGCCAGCCAATTTATTTTAATTGCATTAATCTCTATTCCAGTTCAGAAATAAGGCTTCTGAGATGCTATTTTCATTTTAAATTGAAAGCATTGGGAATTCAGTCTTAAAAGACACCCACTTTGCATTACTAACAGCTCAGTGATTTTATATTTAATATTCTTTTATGTTTTAATCCTACATGTGTGAACCATGTAACATTACACCTGAAAAAAAATCACGGGAATGCACTTACTGAGAGCTACACTTTACAGACATATATACATTCATACATCCTCAAAGGAATTACTTTTCTGTTTATATCATAAATTCAAAATCAATTACATCAGCTCTAATATTTGTTCAATCCCCACTTCTCTTACAATAGAAAACTATAAGATTTAACTCTTTTTTTCCTGCCATGTTTAAATGAATCTTCAGGACTAACTTCATTATATTTCCCTATTAAAAGGGTAGTGCTATGAAAACAAAAAACTGGGCCCTATAGTTTAGGTGAAAGTTTATATATATTTACATATTTCTTTGTTTAATGTCTTTGTGAAGGCAGTAAGAATTTGTAAAATACAAATTAAGAAACATAAATTCAGAAATTTTATATATACATGACATTTATATATGTTATATATATGATAAAATCAGTCTGGGTAATTATGCAAGATTTAAATGTATATTTGCATTAGTATATTATGTATAAATTATTTACTTATATAAAAATTATATATAAAATATCAATAAATATAATTTTAATTAGTTACTTATATTTCACTTTATATTACTCTAACAAGGAAGCTGGTATTTCATTAGTACACAAAAGTTCACTTAAACCAGGTTTTGTAGCTTGTATATTTAGATGATTGTGTGAATATGTTTTCATTTGTCAGTACCTCCATAGTGTGTGTATCTGATAGCTTAAAACAAATTTATTATCTAAAACTATCTGCCTCAAATTTTATCAAAGATAGCTTCATTCATTGCCTTAATGTTACCTAAATATTTGTGACCATACACTAACACACATGCATATCTATTTTAATTATTTGTCTCCTTCAAGTAATTAATATTTGCTTTAATTATATCATTTCTCCAAATCCTTTCACCCAAAAAAGTTCAGAGATGTTACAAATTCAAGTCACCATCTGTCTTATATTCAAAATAATAGTATAGTAACTGTTTGCCATTTGCATTAACTAGAATTAAAAGTTGAAGTTTTAACTTTTCAAAACAGAAAAAAAATGTTTCTTTAATGTGTATTGGTCTTAACAGTTAAAAAACTCTAGATCCATAAAAATATTATGTGGTTTTTCATTCAACATTTGCATTGAGTGTACCAATACCAAGCAAATAATTTGATAAAATATTTCTTTCAAGAATCATGTATTGCCTTAGCAAGGTATTTTCATTTGCTGCTTATAATACCAAAGATGTGTTATAAATAATCTATTCAAACGTATTTGAGAAATTTGTCATCATATATTCAGAGTTTCTTATTTTATACCTTTCTATATTCTGTAGTCTCCTTCAAATAAAGACAAAACTAGAAACTGCAAAGAATGTACACATTTGTGAATAATTTTTAAAAATTCTTTTAGAATTTGGTGTTTTATGAAGCTGGAAAACAGATGGAAATTTTACATGGCCTTTCCTGAGAAATAGCACTATTATCTTTATCAAGATTTTGATTGATTACAGCCAGAGGTCAAAAAGTGGTAGTTAGCCAATTATTCCTGTCACTAGCAATTCTACTCATATAATTATAAATATAGTACCTGTGACACATTCACACAGTATTGATTACTCTATGAGAGTCATTCTGAAATGCAGTTAATGATTCAATAACAGTGTTCACATCATAATAGAATAATCAGAGATATTGGAGAAATAGAAGCATAAGATTTGGAAGCAGTAAATAGTTTAATGTACATAATTTGGGTCATTTTTATTTACATTTTTATATTTAGAGTACTGAAACTCTTAAATTAGAAATAAAAAGCATAATTACAGCTTAGTTTTTTAACTTTTATTTTAGGTTTGAGGGTATATGTGAAGGTTTGTTATATAGGTAAATTCATGTCACAAGGGTTTGTTTTCCATATTATTTTATTACTCAGGAATTAAGCCAAGTACCCAATAGTTATTGTCTGCCAACAAAGATAGTTTGACTTCCTCTTTTCCTATTTGGATGTCTTTTATTTATTTCCCTTGCCTGATTGCTCTGGCCAAGACTTCTGATACTATGTTGAATAGGAGGGGTGAGAGAGGACGTTCTTATTTGTGATGGTTTTCAAGGGGAATGCTTCCAGCTTTTGCCCATTCCGTATAATGCTCTTATTATTTTGAAGAATATTCCTTCAATACCTAGTTTATTGAGAGTTTTTAACATGAAAGGGTGTTGCATTTTATCCAAAACTTTTTCTGCATCTATTGAGACAATCTATGTGGTTTTTGTCTTTAGTTCTGCTTATGCGATGAATCACACGTATTGATTTGCATGTGTTCAATCAACCTTGCATCCTGAGGATGGAGCCTACTTAATCGTGGTGGACTAGCTTTTTGATATGCTACAGGGTTCAGTTTGCAAGTATTCTGTTGAGGATATATGCATCTATGTTCAGCAAGGATATTGTCCTGAAGTTCTATTTGTTGTGTCTCTGCCAGATTTTGGTATCAGGATGATGCCGATTCTTTGGAATAGTTTCTGTAGGAATGGAACCAGCTATTTGTACATCTGGTAGAATTTGGCTGTGAATCCATCAAGTCCCGGGCTTTTTTTGGTTGGTAGGCTACTTATTACTGATTCAGCTTTGGAGTTCATTATTGGTCTGTTCAGGAAATCAGTTTCTTCCTGCTTCAGTTTTGGGAGGGCGTATGTGTCCAGGGATTTATCCATCTTTTCTAGGTTTTCTAGTTTAAGTGCATAGACATGTTCATAGTAGTCTCTGATGGTTAAATTTATTTCTGTGTGATCAGTGGTAACATTCCCTTCATCATTTCTGGTTTTATTTATTTGGTTCTTCTCTCTTTTCTTTTTTTTAATGTACCAAGGGGGCTATATATCTTATTAATTTTTTCAAAAAACAACTCCTGGATTTGTTGATCATTTGAATGGTTTTTCATGTCTTAATTTCCTGAAGTTCAGCTCTGATTTTGGTTATTTCTTGACTTCTGCTAGCTTTGGGGTTGATTTGTTCGTGCTTCATTAATTCTTTCAGTTGTGATATTAGGTTGTTAATTTGAGATCTTTCTAACTTTTTGTTGTGTGCATTTAGTGCTATGAATTTCCCTCTTAGCACTGCTTAACTGTGTCCCAGAAATTCTGGTATGTTGTATGTTTGTTCTCATTAGTTTCAAAGAACTTCTTTATTTCTGCCTTAATTTCATTATTTACCCAAATGTCACTCAGGAGCAGGTTTTTAATGTCCATGTAATTGCATGATTTTGAGCAATTTTCATAGTCTTGACTTCCATTTTTATTGTGCCATGTTCCAAAAGTGTGTTTGGTATGATTTTGATTATTTTGCATTAGCTGAGAATTGTTTTATGTCAAATTACGTGGTTAATTTTAGAGTATATGCCATGTGGCAATGAGAAAAAAGTATACTCTCTTGTTTTGGGGTGGTAAGTTTTATAGAGGTCCACCAGATCCACTTGGTTCAATGTTGAATTCAGGTCCTGAATATCTTTACTAATTTTCTGCCTTGATTATCTGTCTGCTACTGTTAGTGGACTGTTGCAGTCTCCCACTATTATTGTGTGGGAGTCTAAGTCTCTTTGTAAGTCTCTAAGAACTTGCTTTATGAAGCTGGGTGTTCTGTGTTGGGTGCATATATATTTAGGACAGTTGGATCTTCCTGATTATTTGAACCCTTTACCATTATGTAATCCCCTTATTTGTCTTTTTTTTTTTTTATCTTTGTTGGTTTGAAGCCTGTCTTGTCTGAAATTAGGATTGCAGTCCCTGCTTTTTTTCTGTTTTCCATTTGCTTCCATCCCTTTATCTTGAGTGCATGGGTGTCACTCTATGTGGGATGGATCTCTTAAAGACAGCGTATCATTGGGTATTGCTTTTTTATTCAGCTTGCCACTCTGTGCCTTTTAAGTGGGGCATTTAGCCCAATTACATTAAGTTAATGTTTATTTGAGTGGATTTGTTCCTGTATTGTATTGTTAGCTAGTTATCTTGTTGGCTTGTTTGTGTGGTTGCTTTGTAGCGACATTGGTCTGTATTTTTAACTGTGTTTTTGTATTAGCTGGTAGCAGTCTTTCTACATTTAGCGCCCTTTTCAAGATCTCTCGTAAGGCCGGTCTGGTGGTTAACAAATTCCCTCAACATTTGCTTACCTGAAAAAAAAATATTTCTTCTCACTTAGATTAGCTGGTTATGAAATTGGTGATTGAGGATGTTTTTTCTTTAAGAATGTTTAACATAGGCCCTAAATCTCTTCTGGCTTCTAGGATTTCAGCTGAAAGTTCTGCTGTTCCCTTTGTAGGTGACCTGCCCTTTCTCTCTAGCTGCCTTTAACATTTCTTTTTTCATTTTGAACTTGGAAATTCAGATGATTGTGTGTCTTGGGGATGTTCTTGCTGTGTAGAATCTTGCAAGAGCTCTCTATATTTCTAGAATTTGACGTTAGCCTCTCTAGCAAGAATGGGGAAGTTTTCATGGATGATCTCCTGAGATGTTTTTCAACTTGTTTGCTTTCTCCCCTTCTCTTTCACAGATGCCAATGATACACAGATTTGGCCTGTTTACATAATCCCATATTTCTCAGAGGTTGTGTTCATTCCTTTTTCTTTATTTTTTTCTTACTGTCTTATTTCAGAAAGCCAATTTCAAGTTCTGAGATTCTTTCCTCAGCTTGGTTTATTCTGTTGTTAATATTTGTGATTGCATTGTGAAATTCTTGTATTGTGTTATTCAGCTCTGTCAGACCTGTTAGGTTTTTGTTTTTGTTTTATACCAGCTATTTCCTCCTTCAGCTCCTGTACTGCTTTATTGTGATCCTCATTTCCTTGGGTTGGGTTTTGCTCTTCTCCTGAATCTCAATGATCTTTTTCCTACTAATATTCTGAAATCTATTTCTGTCATTTCAGCCAGCTCAACCTGGTGAAGAACTCTTGTTGGAGAACTGGTGCAGTCATTTGAAGGACATACGATATTCTGGCCATTTGCGTTACCAGAGTTTGTGCATTGATTCTTTCTTGTATCTGTGTGTGTGTTTTCCATTAACTGCACTGTAGATTGAGTACAGTCTATGGACTTTTCCTCTGCGTATTTTCACTGGCCTGAAGCTTTGTGCAGGGTCTTTATTTGAAACTGACTTCTTATCTATGGTTTCAAAGGGGGAACATATTGGTAAAGTATTTTGATGTTGAAGCTCTGGTGTGTGATCCAGTAGGTGTCATTTAGGTTTAGTGGTCAATTGGTGGACTCATACTCAGTTATGTGGCTCCCCTATTTTTCCTCACAGTTGCAGCCATGTTCCCTCCCAATGCTCTGAATGTGTGAGTTTCTCTACCCCTTGAGTGCTGGCTGTAGATCACAGCCTGGTATTTCTGGGCTGCCCACTGCAGCTCTGGGGTAATCTCAGTGTTTATGTTTCTTCCCCAGTTTGGAGGCAGCAGAGGAAAGGAACTTAGTAGTGATTGTGGCCCAGAGTCTTTTGCTTTTCTCCTGAGAACTCCACCCCAGAGAGGTGCAGGTCAGCAATTGTTCAATGCAATCAGCAAAGCATGGAGGATTTGTACTGTGGACACAAGCCAGAAGTTTCATGTCTGATGATGAGCAGTTGGGGGTGTTGGAAACATGTGAGATGGACTGGCCTCCTCTCCCTAGGTTGACTGCAGGTTGTTGGAAGTGTGGATAAGGCACTTAGGATCTCTGATCCCTTATTAGTCCAAGTGTAACCAGGGCAGTTCCACTGCAGAGACAGTAGCAAAGAGGCTTTCAGTTGCCCTTGGAGGCTCTGCCCAAGGAGTTGACAAGTTGCTACTAGTTTGATATCTCTGGTGAAGGGTGGCAGAAGGCCCAGGCCTAGAGGACCTGTCAAGTGAGGAGATAGGGAAATGAGCACCAATGTAACAGCCTAACCACTTTTCCATAGGGCTGCTGTAGTTTGCTGGCGGCCCACTGCGGTCCCTAGTCACCTCGGATTTTCTAGTACCTGGAGGTATCACCAGTGAAGGTTAAGAAACAGCAAATATGGCAGCTCGTCACTCCCTCTGGGAGCTCCATCCAAGGGATATAGAGAATTGTTGCTGGCCCAACCCCACCTGTAGGAGGTGGCTGGAGAACCCAGCTGGGAGGTCCTGCCCAGTGAGAAGGAACGGGATCAGACCCACTGACAAAAGCAGTGATATAGTTTGACTCTGTGTCCCCACCCAAATCTCATTTTAAATTGTAATCCCCACATATTGAGGGAGGGTCCTATAATCACTACATGTTAAGTAAGGAAAGTGATTGGAGCATAGGGGCACTTTCCCCTTTGCTGTTATTTTCATAGTGAGTTCTCACGAGATTTGATGGTTTTATAAATGGCAGTTTTCCCTGCCTTCCTCAATTCTCTCCTGCTACCTTGTGAAGAAGGTGCCTGCTTCCCCTTTTGCCATGATTATAAGTTCCCTGAGTCCTCCCCAGCCAGGCGGAACTGTGAGTCCATCAAACCTCCTTTGTTTATAAGTTACTCAGTCTCAGATGGTATCTTTATAGCAGTGTGAAATGGACTAATACAGTAAATTGGAACAAGTAGAGTAGGGTACTGCTATAAAGATAACCTGAAAATGTGGAAGCAACTTTAGAACTGGGTAAAGGCAGAGGTTGGAGAAGTTTGGAGGGCTCAGAAGGAGACAAGAAGATGTGGGAAAGTTTGAAACTTCCTAGAGACTTGCTCAATGGTTTCGACCAAAATGCTGATAGTGACATGGACAATGATGTCTAAGTTGAGGTGGTTTCAGATGAAGATAAGAAACTTATTAGGAACTGGAGCAAAGGTCACTGTTGCTATGCTTTGGCATAGAGACTGGCAGCATTTTGCCCCTGCCCTAGAGATCTGTGGAACTTTGAACTTGAGAGAGATAATTTAGGGTATCTAGCAGAATAAATTTCTAAGCAGTAAAGTGTTCAAGAGGTGACAAGCATAAAATAGTGGAAAATTTGCAGCCTGACCATGTGGTAGAGAAGAAAAACCAATTTTCTGGGGAGAAATTTAAGCCAGCTACAGAAATTTGCATAAGTAACCAAGACAATGTTAATCACCAAGACAATGAGGAAAATGTCTCCATGGCATGTCAGAGACCTTGGTCGCAGCCACTCCTATCACAGGCCTGGAGGCCTAGGAGGAAAAACTGGTTTAACGGGCTGGGCTCAGGCCCCACTGCTGTGTACAGTGTCTGGACTTGGTGCTCTGCATCCCAGCTGCCCCAGCTCCGGCTATGGCTAAAAGGGACCAAAGTACAGCTCAGGCCATTGCTTCAGAGGGTACAAGCCCCAGGCTTTGATGGCTTCCACCTGGGGTGGGGACTCCAGTTGTGCAGGAGTCAAAAACTGAGGTTTGGGAAACTCTGCCTGGATTTCAGAGAATGTATGGAAATGCCTGGATGTCCAGACAGAAATCTGCAACAGGGGCAGAGCCCTCATGGAGAACCTCTGCTAGGGTGATGCGGAAGAGAAACATGGGATCAGAGCCCCTACATAATTCCTACCGGGGCATGGCCTAGTGGAGCCATGAGAAGATTTTCATCATCCTCTAGACACCAGAATGGTAGATCCACTGACTCTTTGCACCATGTACCTGGAAAAGCCACAGACACTCAACACCAGCCTGTGTAAGCAGATCAGAGAGGAAATATACCTTGCACATCCACAGGGATAGAGCTGCCCAAGGCCATGGGAGCCCACCTCTTACATCATCATGACCTGTATGTGAGATATTGAGTCAAAGAAGATCATTTTGAAACTTTAAGGTTTAATGACTGCCCTATTGGATTTCAGATTGCATGGGGCCTGTAGCCTCTTCATTTTGGCCAACTTCTCCAACTTGAAATGGGTGTATTTACCCAATGCCTTTACCCCCATTGTATCTAGGAAGTAACTAGCTTGCTTTGATTTTACAGGATCATAGGTGGAAGGGACTTGCCTTGTCTCAGATGAGACTTTGGACTCGGACTTTTGAGTTAATGCTGGAATAAGTTAAGACTTTCGGGTACTGTTGGGAAAGAATGATTGATTTTGAAATGTATAAAGTATACGAAATTTGGGAGGGGCGAGGGGATATAAAATGGCTTGGTTCTGTGTCCCCACCCAAATCTCGTCTTAAATGGTAATCCCCATATGTCGAGGGAGGGAAATAATTGGATCATGGGGTCAGTTCCCCCATGCTGTTCTCATAACAGTGAGTGAGTTCTCATGAGATCTGATGATTTTATAAATGGCAGTTGCCCCTGCCCTCCTGAATTCTCTCCTGCCACCTTGTGAAGAAGGTACCTGCTCCCCTTTCTGTCACGATTATAAGTTTCCTGAGGCCTCCCCAGCCAGGTGGAACTGTGAGTTGATCAAACCTCATTTGTTTATAAATTGCCCAGTCTCAGATGGTATCTTTATAGCAGTGTAAAAACAGACTAATGTACTGGCCATGGTTTCACAGTGTAGCTATGCTGTGCTGGGGGTCCAGTTCAGCCCTTAGTCATCTTGGACACTCCAATCCCCAAAGGCTAGAAAGGTGAAGTCACCGAAATAGCAAAGATAGTGGCCCACCCTTTCTTCTGGAAGCTCTATCTCAGGGAGATTTGAACCTCTGTCAGCTGGAGAACACTGGTGGGGGTAGCTGGAGACCCTAGTTGTGAGGCCCCACCCAATGATGAGAAATGAGATTGGAGACCCACTTTAAAAAGCAGTTTGGTCACATTTTTGTAGAGCAGTGTGCTGTGCTGGGGTACCATTTCTACCTCTGGTTGGCTTAAACCCTCCAAAGCCTGAACGCTGAAACAGCTAAGTTGCCCAAGCAGCAAAGATGGCAGCCTGCCCATCTCTCTGGGAGCTCCATCTCAAGGGGGTTTCAAATCTCTGTTGGCAGGAGAACACCAGCAGGTGTGTCTGGAGGTCCTAGTTGGACTGTCCTGCCCAACAAGGGGGTATCTTTTTACATATAAGAAATGCAAATAGGTTTTACTTAAGGAATATTAAACATTTTCATTGTATTGGAAAATTGTGTTTGTTTTATCTATGCTTTCAGTTTGAAATGGGAATAAAGTAATATGATTGCATATTATGTGCCATATGTAGCAAGAACTCATAGGATTCTCAAAATATTTCCGGAACAAGAAAATATACATTGATATCCACATGAAAAATATGTAGAGTGATTATGGCAGTGGATTGGATTTCAGATTTTTTAATAAAAATGAGAGTATTATTAAAATAATTATGAAAGTAATTATGTTATTATAAAAATAAATCTTAAAAAGATAAATTACTGGAGTCTGTATAAGTATATATTTGTGTGTGTGTGTGTGTGTGTGTATGATGTATTTTTTTAAAGAACTTATTTATGATTCTCTATGCCTGAAATAGGATAGCCATGCATCTTTCCATAAAGTTTTATGTTAATAAAAGTGAAATGGTCAACTCTAACTAGCTGATGTGATTTCTGCTTCTAATTTGTTGTCAAGATAGAATGAAAAATCTTCATGTTGCAAAATTAGTAGATATTATATAAAATATTAACCTCTTTATTTTAAAATATTTGGCAAACTCACAGAAAGCAAGAGAGTTCCCCAAAGGCTTACAAACAACAACAGAAACAACTATGAGCTAAAAACAGATGGGTGGAACCAGAAGACCAAATGCCAGTACTGGGCACATGATACACGTTTATAGTTATGTGAAGAATGGGGAGTTAGGCTTTAAATCACTGTGAGGTGAACAATTAAAATCAAGATAACCTAGATAAAAGTTGGGTCATTGTATGAGGAACAACCTAATAACAAGGAGATGATATAGTTTGCATATGTGTTCCTGCGCAAATCTCATGCTGTATTGTAATGCTCAATATTGGAGGTAGGGCCTGGTGGGAAGTGACTGATCATGGGGTAGATTTCTCAGGAATGATTTAGCACCATCCTCTTGATACTGTCTTCACAATGGTGATGAGTCCTCAGAAGGTCTGGTCGTTTACAAGTGTGTGACACTTCTCGCTTCTCCCTCTTCCTCCTGCTTTTACAATGTGACATTTTGTTCCCATTTTGTCTTTTGCCATGATTGGAAGCTTCCTGAGGCCTTCCCAGAAGCAGGTGCTGCTGTGCTTTCCATACACTATGCAGAACTGTGTGCCAATTAAACAAATTTTCTTTATAATTATGCAGTCTCACGTATTTCTTTATAGCAATGCGCAAATAAACTAACACAGGAGAGTTGCAAAAACATCAACCTTTCGGAAAATGTCTTCAACAATAAAACCTCTATTCTCTGGACTTTAGAAAACTGAGATGAAAACACAATAATTATTTTTCCTGAGAAAATCTAAGATGAGACATTAAAACAATACTTCAAAAACATAAATAATGGTATCATCATATGATGGACTATTATATAGCCATCAGCTTTAAAAAATTGTTGCTCCACATGACAGCATAGCCGAATATGGTGAAAATAATCTTAAAAAAAAGAATACCACCACAAAAGGTTGTGCTTTACATTATTTAGTGTTTTGAAGTTTGAGTTATGGCAAAACAATTTGTTCATTGTCAGAAGAAGGGTTGTATTGAAGGGTGGTAATGACTGGGAAGCACAAAAGCAACTGCTGATCTGCTGAAAATATTACATTTATTGATTTGGATGCTGATTACACAGGAAAATTTAATTTATTAAAATCCATTCACATGGATCTTTATGATCTTTACATGTCAGTCTACATATTACTCTTCTCTAAAGCTTCTGCTTAAATTAAAAAAAAAGTCTTAAACATAAGTTGTGGTCTAAGTGATCTTCTTTCATATGGTACCACTAAATCCACTGAAGATGAATATGTTTCTGTCTTTGGAGTTCCACTGTCTACTCTGCTCAACCTGCAGCAGTGGTTTGGGTTCAGATCAATTAAACTCATAACACAGGGTTTTTTAAGTTGACTTAGTTTTAAGAAATAATTTAAGACAGGCAATGATGCAGCATTCAAAGCCATAGTATAGCAGGATATTTGAGATTCTGTAGTGCAAATCCCAATGTCCTAACTTGATAATTTGACATGCGGTCATGGTAAATAAGGTGAGTATTTGTCCACACATATTGGAGATATTTTAGACTGGCTATGTAAGTCAACTCAGATTTGGCCACTCAACATTTGCAAAAATAACTAACAAGGATGAAGTATGGTGGAATAAAAGTGACTTTATTTACGAAATTTAGCAGTGGGGAAGTGTTCCAGGCTACTGTCTAAAGAAACAATTTCAAATTTTGGGGCAGAATGCAAGGGTTTAAAAAGGCAAGTTTGGGCCAGGCATGGTGGCTCACGCCTCTAATCTTAGTGCTTTGGGAGACAGAGCGGGAGAATCACTGGACACCAGGAGTTTGAGGCTGTAATCAGCTATGATTTTGCCACTGCACTGCAGCCTGGGGAACAGAGCAAGACCTTGTCTCAAGAACAAAAAAAAAAAAAAGAGTTTGAAATGAAGGGCATGTAGGAGAGACAAGGCAGTTTAGGTCTATGTGACTTATTCCAATTACTTATCTTGAATTATTGCCCCATCTGATGAATGGGCTAATGCCATCTTGGACCTGAGCAGGTTGTAAATTCATCATAGCCTTGAAATAATCTCTTGGGGCGGGGGGGATTTCCATAGGCACCTGTATTATCTCAAGATTAGGGCTCTGGAACTCTAAGCAAGCATATGATTACATAAAGTAGCAATATAAGAGAGTATCTGGTGGAAATGAAAGTAAAGGTTACTGCCTCATTTAGCACAAAGCATGAAAGGAGGAAGGGGAAAAAAGAAAACACTTTAAAATAGGGTACTCAGTTACAGTTAGAATGTCCCTGCCTGTATGTGCTTGTAGTGTGAGCCTCCAGGTCACCTGATTACTGTCCTTTAATTTGATCAGATTTTCTTTCTCTTTCAACTGTGTATGTCCAGTTTCCTTGGAAATAGTTACTTCTAGTGTCCCTCTTATACCCAAAGTGAGTTGCCAGAAAAGTCCTTTCCATTTCTAGTTTACATCAAATCTGCTTTCCATGGTCACAAGAACACCTTACTGCATTGAGGCCAGCATTGGTTGAGTCATCAAAAGTGCTGAGTACTTGTTGTAATGGTGAAATTCAAGTAAATTATAAGCAACTTCAAGTAATGTGGCACAAAGGCAATTGTTAAAGGATCATGTTCAGAGGTTTCAAGATGCATTTTGTTCAACATGCAAAAATTGTTTCCCATAATTGTCCTTTCTGGAGTTCTAGGGGCAAATAATCACTGATCTTTAGCTACTATATCACACTAATATTAGTTCTTTTAGACATTATTCTAATGTATTGAATAGCAATTTCTATAATTTTTCATGTACACTTCTATCTGATCTAATCAAGAGAACAAAGCAGAATCTGATACAGAAGCAGGCAGTTGGTAAATTTAACTGTTGGGCAGGGCCCTCTTTTTCAGCCCCATTAGTTAACCATGCTCAGCCAGTAATATGTGCCTTTCCCATTTTATTTATTTATCTATTATATGATTATGATTATGATTATGATGATGATTATTATTATTGAGATGGAGTCTAGCTCTGTTGCCCAGGCTGGAGTGCAGTGGCGCCATCTTGGCTCAGCTTCCACCTCCCAGGTTCAAGCATTCTGCCTCAGCTTCCAGCTGGGATTACAGGCACGTGCCACCACACCCAACTAATTTTTATAATTTTAGTAGAGACAGGGTTTCGCCATGTTGGCCAGGCTGGTCTTGAACTTCTGGCCTCAAATGATCTGCCCACCTTGGCCTCCCAAAGTGCTGGGATTACAGGCGTGAGCTACCACTGCACCCAGCCCCATTTTAAACTCCTCTTTGGCTTATTTCTCTAAGAAAAAATACATCAAGTCATCACTATAATTAATCCATTTTATTTTGACAGTAATCAAATTTAAATCTAGTTACAGAATATTAGTTCAATACATTTGAGAATATAGATACCCTGAATAAGAGGGTTGTTATGATTATCACAGCACTGTCTATGTAAAAGTGATTATTTTCTTTTTCTTTACTTTCAAGGTCAATAATATAGAAAGAATTAACTAAGTCTACAGGGAAATAGTAATCGCTTCAGGCTTTGGAACTTTCTACAACTTTCATCATGTCCAACAATGTGGAGGGTAAAATGCCTGAAATTATTATAGCCACAATAGTTAACAGTTAGTGTCTATGAGCCATTTAGGTTTTTCACAGAGCTGATAGAACTGAAGTAAACCATTTTGGTGGAGATTAATGTATTTTATATGCTAATGAGATGGCTGGTAGCTGAGGGTCCCTACATGGCCTCAGGATAGGAGCTTGTTGTCGGGAGTACCATCCCTGTGATTAGAGGTTTGGAACTTTCAGTCCCACTGCCCGCCTCCTTGGAGGGGAGAGGGGCTGAAGGTTGAATTAATCACCAATGGTTCATAATGTAATTAATCAAACTCATATAATAATACCTCCATAGAAACCCAGAAGGACTGAGTTGAGAGCTTCTACATAGCTAAATAATTGGAGGTTCCTTGAGAGTGGCACAGCTACCCAGAGAGGGCATAGAAGCTCTTCTTCCTTTTTTCCATACCTTGCCTCATGGATCTCTTTCATCTGGCTCTTCATCTGTAACTTTTGCAGTACAGGGTTAATGTGAGTAAACAGTTTTCTTGAGTTCTCTGAGCTACTCTTGCAAAGAGAAAAGATAGCATATATTCATCCAAAGAGTTGTACATAAATGTTCATAGCAGCATCATTCTTGATACTAAAATACAGAACATTTGAACTATCAACTAGTAAATGAACAAATTGTAGCATACATATACTATATAAGGCTAACAAAAAAACAACTAAATATTTTAAAACATTATGGTATATGAAAGAAATTGAACAGAATATACTTAAATTATATGATTATATTTACAGTAGTATCTCCTTATCTGAGGGGGATACATTCCTAGACTCTCAGTGGATGCCTGAAACCACAGATAGTACTAAACTCTATATACTCTGTGGGTTTTTTAATACATACTGAGACCTAAAAATGAAATCCTAAGCCCCCCAAGTGAACAGATCCCCTCTTGTCCAAGAGGACCACCTCAAGAAACCTTGAAAACTGAGTTCCCTGCCATGACAGGAGGAGAGGTTAGACGAGCCTCACTCTACCTCCTCCTTTGCTTTCTTTCCCAAGAGTTAAACCAACTAGCCCTTTGGAAAGGCTATATCCACTATTGATATCAACTGCCTGCCTGACACAGTCTCTCCCTTTTGTAGTTTTTGCACAACAATCAACAAGCATTCCTTTCTGATAAGAGACCACTGACTTTCAAGTGGTTCTGGCCAGTCTGCAGAGGATGCACAGTGAGGGTTTTCTTTTGTTTTGCTTTTTTGAGACGGAGTCTCGCTCTGTTGCCAGGCTGGAGTGCAGTAGTGCAATCTCGGCTCACTGCAATCTCTGCCTTCCGGGTTCAAGCGTTTCTCCTGCCTCAGCCTCTCTAGTAGCTGGGACTACAGGTATGCACCACCACACCCAGATGATTTTTGTATTTTTGGTAGAGACGGGGTTTCACCATGTTGGTCAGGATGGTCTCGATCTCTTGACCTCGTGATCCACCCACCTGGGCCTCCCAAAGTGCTGGAATTACAGGCATGAGCCACTGCGTCCGGCTACAGTGAGGGTTTTTAATGCTTCACCTTTTAATGTTACAGGGCCAAAAACTCCATCCTCAAATCATTTTTTGAACCTGGGGCTTATGAAGAGGCATGAAGCTTCATTGCTCCTGCACATGTTTCCTCTTTCATAAATATTCATGACTCCTCCTATAGCCTATTAAATATGTATATTCAGCCACCCTGCTCAGCATAAATTCCTTTCCCCTTTGCTCCTCCCTCATAGTGTCTTTTTTCCAGCTTCTGCCTGGAGGCTATGCTTCCCAGTCTGTCAGAATGGCTACCCTGCAGGGTGCAATGTTTAAGAGAAATAAAACTCTTCTTTCCAAATTTGTGAACAATTCTTCAGTTGACAATACATACCTATGATAAAGTTTAATTTATACATTTGGCATAGTAAGAGATTAACAATAATAACTAACAATATAATAGAACAGTTGAAACATTATATTGTAATAGAGGTTAGGGGAATGTGATCTCTCTCACCCAAAATATCTCATTGTAGTTTTGATCTTAGCAACCTCAGCACAAGATGTTTCTCCTTTCCTTAAATGGAGAACTTCCACTGTTTCACTTAAAGGACACATTTTACTGCATCTCTTTAGAATATTGGTTCAAATTGTCAGCGTCACTCCTCTTGGGCTTTAGGGCCTTTATTAAATATAATTGAAAAGAACCTTCAAAGCAGACACTAAAATACTGCAATGGTCAATCTGATAACCAAGAAGTCTCCTTTGTGACTAACTGGCCGGTAGCATCTATAAACCACATATGCTGGACAAAGGGATAATTCATGTCCTGAGAGAAACAGGGCAGGATGGCGAGAGATTTCATGAGTCTACTCAGAACAATGCACAATTAAAATACATAAATTATTTATTTCTAGCATTTCCCATTTAATATTTTAAGGCCAAAGTTGGCTGATGATAACTGAATCCCCAGAAACGGAAACTGCAGATAAGAGGGGATTACTGTATATTAAATTCTAGGGGAAAAAACCTATAGCAATTAAAAAAAAAATCAGTGGTTGTGTCGGGCAGGAACAGGGGAAAAATTCAAACACAAAGGGACTGGAGGAAATTTCTTGGAGCATCGTTTATGTTCAGTATCTCCATTCTGGTGATAGTTTCATGATTGAATAAAATCACGAAAACTTATCAATCTGAATACCTTAAAGAGAGATTTCTTGGTATGTAAATTCTACCTCTACAAAACTGGCAAACAAAACAAAACTAAACTAAAATGGACTCTGCTCTGCTGAAAAGCATTTTTCTGACTTTTGAATGTCTTTTGGAGTGACTTGGCTGGCACGGCCCTTCGTGTTTTGACCCCTGCTCTCCTCTGAGTGTGTCACCCATGAGTTAGTTTCCTGCTCCGTCTGCTGCATCAGCTTCTCCCACCTTAATAAAGATTCAGTGGTTTCTCGTCTCTTAGTTTTCTTCCACCAGGAACATGTTGCTCCTTCTCTGCCACTTTGCTTAGCTAGCTGATATGCAACCTTTAGGTATTGAATAAATTTGAAATAACTCTGTAAGGGAAAACTCCCATGATCAAATTGATTTAGGCTTCTGATAATCTGTTCTCAAAATACATTGTACCAAAAAGTTTTCACACTCATTCTAATGGCTGTATTTATTCAATATTTTTCCCACTCTGGTTAGATGTTAGCATTTATCATTCAGAGACAATGTCTTTTTTGTTCATGGTCTTATGCAGTAGAGACCCCAGTGAAAAGTAAGTTCTGAAATGTATGTTAAGTAAATTTCTTTATTAGATAAATAAGTTGCAATTGGAATCCTATTTGGTAGGTCTGCCATAGTAAGATACCACAGACTGGGGGACTTAAACAAGAGAAATTTATTTTCTGAGTTCTGAGGGCTAGAAGTTCAAGATCAAGATGCCAGCAGGTTTGTTTCTTTTAAGGCATTCTACTGAGCTTGCAAATAAGCACCCTTGGCCTGCTTCTTCACATGGGTTTTCCTTCAGTGTACACATATGATTGAGTAAAATCATATGATGTCTACATGTGATGTCTACAGGTGTTTTTTTTGTGTATACATTTCTCCTTCTCCTTCTTCTTCCTCTTCTTCCTTCGTCTTCTTTCTTCTTCCTCTTCAAGAAAGGGTCTCATGGCCGGGCGCAGTGGCTCACGCCTGTAATCCCAGCACTTTGGGAGGCTGAGGTGGGCGGATCACGAGGTCAGGAGATCGAGGCCATCCTGGCTAACACGGTGAAACCCCGTCTCTAATAAAAATACAAAAAAATTAGCCGGGCATGGTGGAGGGCACCTGTAGTCCCAGCTACTCGGGAGGCTGAGGCAGGAGAATGGTGTGAACCCGAGAGGAAGAGCTTGCAGTGAGCTGAGATCGAGCCACTGCAGTGCAACCTGGGCGACAGAGCGGGACTCTGTCTCAAAAAAAAAAGAAAAAAAGGGTCTCACTGTGTCACCCAGGCTGTAGCTGAGTGGCATTATCACAGCTCTCTGCAACCTTAAACTCCTGGGCTTGAATGATTCACCTGCCTCAACCTCCAGAGTAGCTACGGCTACAGGCACAGGCGACCATACCCGCTAATTTTTAAAATTTTTTGTAGAGCTGTAGTCTCACTGTGTTGCCCAGTCTTCAACTCCTGGCCACCAGCAATCCTCCCACCTCAGCCTCACAAAGAGCTGGGTTTACCACTGTAAGTCACTGCATCTGGGCCAAATTCCTTCTTCTTCTTTTTTTATTTTTCTTTTAGACTGAAGTCAGATTTGTTTATGGTTTTCTCTACCAGCCTCATTTTAACTAAATTCCCCCTTTGAAGGCCATGTGTGCAAATAGAATTGCGTTCTGGGATACTGAGTGTTAGGGCTTCAGCATATCAATCTGAAGGGGATGCACATTCTGTCCATAACGTCTGGAAAATGAAACCAAATACAGATAGTGCCTCACACAGTGGCATGTTTTTTTCTCAAAAACCTTCCTTGAGATTGAGTTATTTTGGACATGGATAATTCCCATTTCCCTTTCCATCTGTCTGTAGCTAATAGCCTGGCATTTAGTTGAGAATGAAAAAAAAAGTTTAAATTTAGTTGTATTAAACTAAGTGCAAGGACAAAAAAATGAGCTAATTTATCATTAACTAATTGATGTTTAAGCACCACATAGAAATTCTTAGTACACTTATTATGTAAAATGCCCACAAAACTTAAAAGAGAAACCAGCAACCTCTCTGTGATGGCCCTTTGAGTCTTGACAGTTTTCCATTCATCTTCTTATTCAAAAGTATCTGACTTGGGTATTTTCAGTGGTGCAGTCCTTAATTTTCTGACTTGGACTTTGCGGTGAAATAATGAGGACAGGTGAAAATCACCAGAATTGCCATAGAGAAAGTACTCAAACCAACTTTATTTTTTAAGGTGAACTTTTAAAAATTAATCAAGTCTTAGGTAATTCGTGGTGTTTGCTCAGCAATAGTAAGTTGGGATTATTTCTAGAACGAATTGCTCATTTTATTATTTCTTCAAAACCAGAATATATATTTATGCCAGCTATTTCAACCATATGGAAAACAGATAAAATATGTCCTACAGGTGTAGGTTTTACCTATTAGTACTCTTTACACAACTTCAAAATATTTAAGTTGTAGCTACACATACAGGATAAATTAAATCAGATTTTTGAGAATACTTAACATCTCCCAGAAGTTGAAGATTGTTTGATCATTTTTGGAATATAAAATCATGATGAAAGCTGATGTGATATGGTTTCAAATAAGTATTTATAGCATGAATAAATAAACTCAAAACATGTGCTACTCTTTGTGAATCAGGCAACAATTACAGATGTCTTACACCTGCAATCTCAGCACTTCGGGATTCATAAAAATTGATTCTTTAAATAAATTAAATATTTTACTGTATATATTTTAAAAATGTTAAACATTGAGAAGTGTAAAAACTAGGTTTATCTCTTTAAAGTATTAGTATATGTGTCTTTTAAAACAATTGAGAAACCATGAATGTTTGTCTACTTAGAGAAAGACTCTTAATAGGGTTTTGTAGGGATTTTTGGTTGTCATTCCAAGATTGATTAAAAAATTTGAATTGTCTCACACTTTTTGTTTAAGCAACATTTTTTGAGCCAGAGTAGATGCATTAACCTTTCTCAATTAAAACGATTAAAACATGCCCTACGTATTTTAATTTCCTTTTCCCTCTCTCATCAAAAGAGATCATTTAGATGACCTAGACAAGTTATTTTGTAATATGGAGGGATTATGGGGTTGGAACAAACTAATGTTGCAGGGAAAGACTATATGATCATTCCCATGGCATGAAATCAGTTGCTGCAGGCACTATTCAGTAGTCATGGTATTTCAAAAGGAGCCCTTGGCATGCCCATCTCCCTAGTATGGTTCTTGATCTTAAGGAATTTATAGACCAGAATTAAAATCCGTTGTCACAGAGGGATTAATAATTGTGAGTAGTGTTATAAAAGAACAAATAAACAATTCTCCAACAGCTAAAACAATTATTTTATATAAAACCAATGATTAGAACAAAATAGAATAAAAAGGTGTCATTTCTGTTGGGCTGCTTTGGTCTACTTGATCTCCAGGTCCCAGTTCATTAGTCAGAAAGTTGTCACAGATCAAAAGCCATGGCTGTCATGGGGCTCACTTCATTAGTTTTGCTTTTCTCAGTGATAGTAAGTAGCCTGTGGCAACTTACCTAATGATTCAATGGAAACTTTTGCCTTAGAGGATTAATAATTTATACTGTGATTTCAGTGTCCTGTTTAAGAAATCTTTTTTTCAGAAGGGCCCTGTGGCTCACGTCTGTAATCCTAACACTTTGGGAGGCTGAGGTGGGCGGATCACATTAGGTCAGGAGTTCAAGACTAGCCTGGCCAACATGGCGAAACCTGGTCTCTACTAAAAATACAAAAATTAGCCAGGCATAGTGGCACCTGCCTGTAATCCCAGCTACTTGGGAAGCTGAGGAGCAAGAATCGTTTGAACCCAGGAGATGGAGTTTGCAGTGAGCAGAGATTGCACCACTGCACTCCAGCCTGGGCAACAGAGCAAGACTGTCTCAAAAAAATAAAAGAAAAGGGAAAAAAAGATTTTTTTTTTTATTTAATGGTTTTAGATTTTGCATTCAGACTTACATGGTTTTTTTTGTTTGTTTGTTTTGACAGAGCCTTGCTTTGTTGCTAGGCTGGAGTGCAGTGATGCAATCTCTGCGCAGTGCAATCTCCACCTCCCGGGTTCAAACGATTCTCGTTCATCGGCCTCCTATGTAGCTGGGATTACAGGCAGGCACTACCAAGCCCGGCTAATTTTTGTATTTTTAGTAGAGACCGGGTTTCGCCATGTTGGCCGGACTAGTCTTGAACTCTTGACCTCAGGTGATCCACCCATCTCAGCCTCCCAAAGTGCTGGGATTACAGGCGTGAGCCACTGTGCCAGGTCCAGACTTACATGTATCGTTCGTCCATTTTGGTTTATAGCGTGAGGTAAGAATATACATATTTTTTGTATATGAATGCTCACTAATTATTTTTAAAAGCCAGCTTCTCCCTAACTGTACTTATTTGCAAATCTGTTATAAAAATGACCATATGTGTGAGATTCTTTTTCTGTATTGTCTATTCTGTTCCATTGGTTTATTGTCCATCATTGCACCAATTTCAGACTGTTTTTATTACTATAACTTTATAAAATGCTTGATATTTAATGTGATAAATATGCCATAACTGTTTATCCCCTGAGATTACCATTTTTTTTTTTGACCCTTTTGCATTTGATGTAAATTTTTCAATCAACATTTACATTAGTCCAAAATAAATGTGTAGATTGATTGGGCAGAATTGACACAAAAACTACAAAACAGTATTGAGATATTTGATCCATGAACATCTTATGTTCTCCATTTTCTTTTGGGAGAATCCTCTGGGCCCACTAAGGGCAAATAGTTTTATCTTTGACTTAACACAGGGTCAATCTACTCTAATTTAAGTATTATATTTACATTGTATCAAGGCTGTTCTAGAAATTCAACTTTTGTTAGTGTAAGTCAACATAAAGGACAGTTATAATTAAATTTATCTATTTGAGCTAATTATTAAATGTATCAAATGTTATACATTTATCAATTATAATCAACTGATTTAATTAAAATTGATAAATATATGAAAATTAATATTGTTGACCTAATGTAAAATTAGGTGGTGGCTTCCTTTCTTACGAGGATCCTGAGAATCTACTCCTATTCAAATTCCCTGGGTTTCAGCTGATATTAATTGGTCAAAGCCTTACAACCTTGCAAATTATGATACTTAAGCTTTATTTACAAGATATGATTTTATACTTCACTGGTGTGGTATGCTGACTTATGAGTCTGTGTACGGGTCAGGAGAGAAGAAGTGGCATTGTGGAGCATAAATAGAACCACAAACTTTCACAAAAATATTTCCTAAAGATATGTCATCACCATATTTTGAAGACAACCTAATAAGACACAAAGAAGAGGCTGCTTCTTTGGACAAAGGAGGTTGAGTGGTGTTTTATGGTTCAGTGTACAGCAGCACCCAAAATATCTCCATTCTTATTTTCAATGCCCACCTATATGACCAGTTCCCTTTCCTTTATTGGATCTTACTTATTAAAGCTGGAGTTTTCTGTGTTAAAAGACCAAAGGCTTTATTTTGTCTTTCTTTTCTATTTTACACTTTTCAAGCAACTAGATAGAAAATCTTATGTCCTTAGGGCAAATTGATATTGTTGCTTACTTCTTTATTGTTCTCTTATACAAAAAGTTATGTAATAACATTTTGGATATAGTTTTCATTTTGTGTTTAGCAAGCAGCTTAAAATTGGAGAGTCTTGAACTTTCAAGAAAATGACAAGGTCTTGGATAAAATTTTTGCAGAGCTTAACATTGAGGTCTGCAGTAAGATATGCCTTCCAGGTAGTCATTAAATATTTATTGTTCCTTCAAGCATCATATGGAAGGACAGGTTATAAAGGAGCAAAAGCAAATATTAACTTTATGTACCACCAACAGAAATATTATATATGTATTTAGTAGTACCATTTATAATTAAAATAAGATGTAAGATATATGTCAATTGATATTAAAATGTGCAAGATTTTATGGAACATAGTATTAATCCTTATTGAAAGATATTATTAACATATAAAAATGGAGACATAGCTCAACAATTTTGATGCAATATTATAAAGCTCTAATTTATTTTTACAAAATACATGTAATTTAAAAGAAAATCTCAAAATATTTTTTTTCAGGGAACATGATACCTTGAATCTAAACTTTAATAGCAAAAGTGCAAGAAAGTCCAAGAAAGCTTCAAAGATCAAAGTAGAATATATCCTAATAGGCGTCCAGACATTTTTAGGTTACTGCATTAAAGGCAGTGTGATACTGGTGCAAGAATATATCAGGAGTTCAAGGGAATAGAAGAGAAAGCTTCCAAAAAGATTCATCCAAATCTTTGCCATACGAGCAATGCTATTTATTAAGCTTGAATTTATATAACTATATATATATTTATTTACATAATTTCATATAAATTGTATTTAATAAATGGTGTTCAATTAATTGATGCTATGATTTAAACGGATTCCCCCAAAATCCTCATATCTGACAAATTAACAGCAAATTCAGTGGTTCTCACTACCCCAACATGTTTGATAATTTGCTAGAATGAATCAACCAACTGAAGAATGCACTATACTTACAGTTTTAATATATACCCTCTTCATCTTCTACATAATAAATTTTTTTATATGTTATCTAACAAGTATATCCCTCTTCCTCTTTCTTTCCACACTTAGTGGAGTGCTACTAATTTGTATTTTGACTGACTCAAGAATGGCAAGTCACTGTTTTGCTCATCAGCTTCATAATTTCATTTTCAACCCAATGTGGGTAACCTGGGTCATGCTGGGCAGCAGCATCAAGTCCTCTTCTGTTTGTGCCTTTTCCAAGAAAAGAGTAGTAGTCTAACCAAATTCTTTTTTCGTTTCCCTAATCTCCAAATTCTTCTGTGAAAAAGTGGGGACCTGAGTGAATTTGTTCCTCTAGAATACAGAAGTGCAGTTTTATACATCAACTGTGTCTCCTACATTGCTCTCAAATTACTTTACTCATTCTGACTCTTCCTAAAATTATTTTCCTTTTAGCACATTACTCTATTTTCCCAACTCACAGAGAAAATTGAGCCTATCACGTGTAAACTTAATAAGCAAATTCTTTTCCACAGCATGAATGCATATCTTCTTTTAACCAATTTAATTTGCTTAATATTTGCCAAATCCTACTGACTGCAGGCAAGTGGCTAAGTCATTATTTGTATTCTGAGTTTTTATGAGTATGGCACCAGGTACAAAACGGAAACTGAAAACATTCTGAAAGCATAAATTTCTCCAAATTTCTGTTACACATTTGACTTTCATGGATCTGAGTTGATTCTACAGAAAGATCTATGAAGCCCCCATGCCTTAGCTGAACATTATACATATATCATATCATTAACCTCTAACTATATGAATATGGTCAAGATTTGCTTACCAAAAAAAAAAAAAGAAAAAATACATATATACCCACCCACACAAAAGACCAGACTAATGACTATACTTTATACCTATAAAGTATTTCATCGAACAACAATGGAATACACATTTTCTTAAGCTCATATGGGACATTTATCAAAATCAACCACAAAATACAACTTAAAAATTTTTGAACAAATGAAAACAATACAATGTCTGCTTCTATAATACAATGGGATTAAGCAAGACATCAGCAACACAAAGATAACTTGAAAATTCCTAAATATGTGGAGATTAAACAACACACTTCTCAATAACACATGTACAAGGGATAAATTTTAAGATAAATAAAATATATTTTGAACTAAATGAAATTTGCTTATTTCATTAGAATTTGGGGATACAGTGAAAGCAGAGTTAAGAGGAAATTTTATATAATTGAGTGCATATAGTATAAAACAGGAAAGATTTAAAAAGTCAATGATCTAAATTTTAACCTTACAAAACTTGAAAAGGAAGAGCAAATTATATGCGAGTAAGCAGAGGCAAAAAAATAATAAAAATTAGAGCAGATATCAATTAAATTGAAAACAATAAAAAAATTAATGAAACCGTAGCTGCTGCTTTGTAAAGGCTAAAAGACATCATAAGCCTTTATCCAGGCTAACAAGGAAAAAAGAGATGATACAAATTGCTAATATAAAAAATTAAAGAGGGAAGATCACTATAAATCCAATGGCCTTTAAAAGAATAATACTATAATACTATAACCAACTCTATGCCCATAAATTTAATAACCTAGATGAAATAGACAAATTTACTGAAAGACACATTTAATAAAGTTTCAAAACAGAAAAAACACCAGTCTTTGATAGGTTCACTGGTTAATTCCCTCAAATACTTCACAAAGAAATTATACCAATGCTCTACAATCTCCTTCAGAAGGTAGAAACTGAGGGAATGCTTCCTAACTTATTCTATGAGGCCAGCATCACCTAAATGTCAAAATCAGATGAAAACATTACAAGAAAAGAAAACTGCATGCTCTCTCATGAACGTAGATACGACACTCCTCAACAAAATTTTTATCAAGTTGAATATAACAATGTATAAAATAATTCTGCACTATAACAAAATGAGATTCATGTCAGGTGTGTAAAGTTGATTCAACATTCAAAATACTACTGATGCAATTCATCCCATGATAAGGTGTAAAATAAAAATTAACTGAACATATCAATACATACAGAAAAAGCATCTGATAAATTTTAACACTCATTTATGATTTGTTTTAAAAAATCTCACTAAGAAAGGAATAGAGAGTTCTTCCTCAACCTAATAGATAACGTTAATAAAAATCTTATAGCTAATATGTCATTTAATTGTAAGAAACTAGAAGCTTTGTCATTAATATTAGAAGCAAGGCAAAGATGCCACATCTCATCACTTCTTTTCAACATCATAACAGAAGTCCTAGCTAATGCAATAAGTGATATAAAGGAAACAAAGATATCCTGGTTGGGAGGAAATAAATAAATTTTCTTTGTTCACGGATGATATAATTGTCTAAGTAGAAAATCTGAAAGAACTGACAAAAATAGCTTCAGGAACTAATAAGAGACTATAGCTAGGTTGTAGGATACAGGTTAATATACAAGTTTATTTTACTTTTCTTTATAGCATCACTAAACAAGTGGAATAATGAATTAGGAACACAATACATTTACTTTAGCATCACCCAAAATGAAATAATTAGGCATAAATTAAGCAAAATGCATACAAAATCTATACTAGAAAAACTAAAAAATTCTGATGAAAAAAATCAAATAAGACTTAAAAATGCAGAGATATTTCATCCTCATAAATAGGAAGAGGTGACAAGATGTTGCTTCTTCACAAATTGATCTATAGATTCTATACAACCCAGTTAAAATTCCAGAAAGTTATTTTGTAGATATTGGCAAAAATTTATTAGAGAGGAAAAAGATCCAGAATTGTCAATACAATATTGAAGAAGAAGCACGAAGTTGAAGAGCTAATAATACATGACTTCAAGATTTACTATAAAGCTACAGTTGTCTTGATGGTGTGATATCAGTGAAATAATAAATAAATAGATCAGTAGAACAGAATAGAGAGTTCAGAAATAGACCCACATAATTATAGTCAACTGATCTTTGGAAAGGAGCAAGCACAATACACAGGAGAAAAGATGTTTCTTTCAACAAATGGCGATGAAACAGCTGAACCTTCACATGCAAAAAATACATAAACTTAGACACACACCTTATACGCTTTACAAAACTTAAATTGTATCACAGACTTAAATAAAACTATAAAACTCTTAGAAAATAACATAGGTGGAAATCTGGATGACTCTGGGTTTGGTGAAGACTTTTTAGATATAGCAACAGAGGCATGATCTAAATTGATATGCTGGACTTCATTAAAACTAAAAATTCCTACTCTGTGAAAGAAGCTGCCAAGAGAACGAGAAGACAAGTCCCAAAGTTAGAAAATACCCTTGTAAAACCAGTGGTGGAGATGTTAATTTGCATGATTGTGGTGAATATTTCACTGTGTATACAGATAATAATTGAGTTGCATAATTTAAATGTATACAATTCTTAATTGTCCAAAAATGTAACTATTCTGAGCTCAAAAATAAATAAATAAATAAAGACATAGCTGATAAAGAACTGTTATCCAAAGTAGGCAAAGAACTCTTTGCAAAAAGTCTTGCAAGACTTTTCCGTCTTACAAGAGGATTGTAAAATGCACACATCAGCGCTCTGTAGCTAGAGGATTGTAAACGCACCAGTCAGCACTCTGTGTCTAGCTAAAGGATTGTAAATGCACCAATCAACACTCTGTAAAAAATCTTAAAACTCAGTAATAAGACTACAAATAATCAGTAAATTGAATGATTTCAAAATCAAATGATTCCTTAAATACCATTTTATTCAGATTTAAAAATAGCCCAAAGACATCTACAGACACCTCACCAAAAAAGATATATAAATGGCACATAGCATATTAAAAGATGCTCCACATCATATATCATTAAGGAAATTCAATTAAATTAATCATATACCTATAAACCTGAGAATGGCCAACATCCAGGACACTTACAATGCCAAATGTTGGTGAGGATATGGAGAAACAGAAACTCTCATTCAATCCTGAGAGGAGTGCAAAATAATACAACTACACTGGAAGACAGTTTAGCAATTTCTTACACAACTAAACATTTTCTTTCCATGCAATTCAGCAACTACTCTCCTTGGTATTTAGCCAATGAGTTCAGATCTTCATGTGGATGTTTATAGCAGCTTTATTCATAATTGCCAAAACTTAAAAGCAACTAAGATGTCCTTCAGTAGGGGAATGGATAAATACACTGTGGTATATCCAGACAATAGAATATTATTAAAAATTTAAAACATGAGTTATCAAGCCATGAAAAGACACAGAGGAAACTTACTGAGTGAAGAAGCCTGTCTAAAAGCTGCATACTGTATGATTACAACTATGCATTCTGGAAAAGAGAAAACTATGGAGACAGCAAAAAGATCAATGGTTTCCAGGGGATGGGGAGAAGATAAATAAGCAAAGCACAGAGGATTTTTAGGGCAATGAAACTACTTTGTATTATACTATAATGGTACATACATTTCATTACACATTTGTTCAAACCCATAGAATACACAACACTAAAAGTGAACCCAATGTAAACTATGGACTTTGGGTGATAATGTGTCCATATAGGTTCATCATTTGTAACAAATGATCATTTGTAACTCTGTTGGTGAGAGGTGAAGCCAGCTGGACTTCTGGGTCAGGTGGGGACCTGGAGAACTTTTCTGTCTTACAAGAGGATTGTAAAAGGCACAAATCAGCACTCTGTAGCTAGAGGATTGTAAACGCACCAGTCAGCACTCTGTATCTAGCTAAAGGATTGTAAATGCACCAATCAGCACTCTGTAAAAAAGCACCAATCAGCAATCTGTGTCTAGCTAGAGGATTGTAAATGCACCAATCAGCACTCTGTAAAATGAACCAATCAACACTCTGTAAAATGGACCAATCAGCAGGACATAGGCAGGGACAAATAAGGGAATAAAAGCTGGCCACCCCAGCCAGCAGCAGCAACATGTTCGGGTCTCCTTCCACCCTGTGGAAGCTTTGTTCTTTTGCTCTTCACAATAAATCTTGCTGCTGTTCACTCTTTGGGTCTGTGCCACCTTTATGAGCTGTAACACTCACTGGGAAGGTCTGCGGCTTCATTCTTGAAGTCAGTGAGACCAAGAACCCACTGGAAGGAACCAACTCTGGACACACTGGGAGATGATAACAGGAGAGGCTATTCATGTGTAGGGGTAGGGAGTATATGGGGTATCTTTGTACCTTTCTTGTAATTTGACTCTAGACAAACGAGTTTAAAAAAGTCTTTAAAAAAAAGAGAAAAAAAGACAATAACAAAAAGCCTCCTTAAGTCCTTGTCAAATTATAGCCTATATTACTATGTTCATATTTTGTGTTACAAACAAGTTACCCAAGTAAGTGTTCAACATGCAATACGATGTATTTTATTTTCCCAGTTCTAACAAAACTGCTTTTACTAAGTCCTCAAAGAACTCTTAATTGAAATATGCAATGAACAGCTCTGTGTTTTCTCATCGTACCTCCTGATGACATAGGACATTGTTGACTATTGTCTCCTTCTCTATGTTCTCTACTTCCTTGACTCCCATCTTTCCATTTGCTATTCCTAATTTCCCTCCACATTTGTCTTTTTACTTTGATAATTAAAATTTGTGTTTTCAAAGGTTTATTCTTGAGCCCCTCTTCTCATGAAATACATTCTTCCATAATCTTACAAATTTTTAACACTCTGATCCACACTTTTTTTGCCTAATTGAATTTTTCATGTAAGTATACCATAGATAGCCTTATTTCAACAGAGTATAATTGTTATTATCCATCTTCCACTTTACGCACTGAAACAGAAAATCTACTCTTCGATGACTTGCCATTATGGTAATGATGTTTCTATTCTATCGTAATGACATATGCATAATTTATGTTTGAATTTCTCTACATTTCTCCATAATCAATTAATATGGTAGTAATTTCTTAGCCACTTGTGATGGTTAATGTTAGGTGTCAACTTGATTGGTTTGAAGGATGCCTAGATGGCTGGTATTGTTTCTGGGTTTGTCTATGAGGGTGTTGCCAGAGAAGATTGATATTTGAGTAAGTGGACTGGGGGAGGAAGGTTCACCCTCAATCTGGGCAGGCACCATCCAATCGGATGCCAGAGTGGCTAGAATAAAACAGGCATGGAGGACGGTGGGATAACCTCGCTTTCTGAGTCTTCTGGTTTTCATCTTTCTCCCATGCTGGGTGCCTCTTTCCGCTCCTCATGTCCTTGGACATCAGACTCCAGGTTTTTCTGCCTTTGGACTCTTGGACTTACACGAGTGGTTTGTCAGGGGATCTCGGGTCTTTGGCTATAGACTGAAGGCTGCACTGTTGGCTTCCCTGCTTTGGAGGCTTTTGGACTCAGACTGAGCCACTACTGGCTTCTTTCTTTCCCTGCCTGCAGACGACCTATTTGGGGACTTTGCCTAGTGATCATGTGAGCCAATTCTCCCTAATAAACTTCCTTTCATATATACATATTCTCCTCTGGAGAACCCTAATACGCTCCTTCACTAGCTAACTAATTTTCCCTTGTTTACTCATATGCAATCTCTTTAACTTTGACTCTATTTACTTTTCTAGTTTACTTATGATGTGTTTCCAGAATAAGTTATTAAAACAAAAATCTCATTGTGTCATTTCTCATTAGGGCATATCAATGGGACTTTATCTCATTCAAAAGAACTTTAAATTCTTTACTGAGATACTTAAGAACTCTGGCAGTATGATGTCTAAATAATTTTGAAGTCAGATGTCCCACTCATATTCCTACATGTAATGAACAGCCACATTAATTTTATATATGTTAATGTACTTAATAAAAAGTTTATGTCTGTGATTTTTGCAAATAATTTCCTTTAAATAAAAATTTATCTCCCATTTTGTTAGTCAAGAGACCTCTTGTTTTCTCAAAATAATTCAACTTTGAAACCCTTTAATATTACCTCACCTCATAAATGAAAAACTTGCAGACCTCTTCTTTTCCCGTGTTTTTTGTTTGTTTTGTTTTTTAACTCTACACATCAGAGAATATGATTAACATGTTTTCTCTTTTTTAATCATGAATGCAAAATTATATAGTTAATCTGTTGGTGGATTTATCTCTTTAATTTGTAACCTCTTTTTAGTCTTCCTTCCTCACTTACATTTTGAATTAATTTGAAAAAAATCAGAAAGAATTGCTATAAGAAATATAATATTCAGTTTATATGTGCATAAAAATAAGACAGAAAACCATCTATGGTAGCAGTAAAAACCACATATTTGATTCAAGAGTTTGTGAAAAGTAAAATTAAATAAGTTCCAATTAAACCTAGCAGCAGGCTTCGTAGATCCAGTGTTTACTTTTCATTAGAAATTAGAAGAGCACACTCCTGGGAATAGAGTGTTTTAAAGGAAGATTCTTGGGTTCATGTTAATTAAAAATCAGAACTAAACTGAGACTAAGTAAAGAAATAGCAATTGCTTTTCAACACAGGGGAAACACTAGAAGGAGCTTCGTGATATTTAATTGCTATGTGTAAACTTGAGTTAATAGTATTTCACTCAAATAATTTATTATTCTGTGCTAAAAACACCTCATAAGTATTTATTGCCTACTGGGTTTAGGTACCAAACTATTTTTCTCAGGTCACAAATTTCTGTTATTATTTTATGTGTTATTTATTAATATAAATAAAATAATAAAGGAGATTTTTCCTAAACATAGAAATGCAAATTTACATAAACAAGTTCATTCCAAAATTATAAATATATCTATTTTTGTCCATTTTGTAATGTCTATTTTTATTCTAAAATTTTTGTATTTTATGGAAATAAAATTCATTGCAATATATTTTCAAATAGGAATTAGTAATATAATTTTAATATATTTTTAATGGGAATGATGTGACTGCCTTGCAACTTTGAACAAAGGAAAAATAAAACTTTAACATAAAATATTTTATTATAGTGATACAAAATTAGATAAAGTTTATCTGAATAAACTATGTAGAGAGCAAAAAAATAAATTTCCAATACCAAAACAGCGTTCACAGAACTTTAATTTAATGCATGCTAGTGTATAAAACATTTTAAATGAATGTCAACCAAAAATAAAATTCTAAGCCCCCCCAGTTGACTAAATGGACAACCAAGGGGATTCTCAAGTAAACCTGAAAAGCTAGTTAAGCCCATAATGGGAAGGGAGTGGGTCAGACACTCCTCATTATACCCTTCTTTCTGAAATTCAGGCACAACTGACCAGCACGAACGTTAACACACTAGTCTTAAGACTAACAAAACATATGCTTTGAAACAATAATATATCAAATTCCAGCCTGACTCTAGTGTAGCATCACATGACAGATAGCAGGCCCTCAAAGAAATTAAAGTATTTTACCCCAACGTATATTTATTTGACGTATTTTGAAATGATCCTGCAAAGCTGTCTTTTGTAGGGGAAATTTATATTTTGGAGAGAATCCCCTTCCCTTTCTGGGTCTTTTTCTGATCCTGAATAGTTTAGCTGACAGTCTAGCACCTTTTAAAGATCTGAACTGGAAATATTTGCCATCTATTGTCTCTAAGGCTGGCCACCTGTGAGACTTTATCTACATAATGAGAATATTGGTGTCCATACCCTTTATCTTAACCCAGACTTAATTTCTTTCTATTGATTTCAGGTCTTTAGATAACAATTTAACTTTTTTTTTTTTTTTTTTTTTTTTTTTTGAGACGGAGTCTCGCTCTGTTGCCCAGGCTGAAGTGCAGTGGCGCGATCTCGGCTCACAGCAAGCTCCGCCTCCCGGGTTCACACCATTCTCCTGCCTCAGTGTCCTGAGTAGCTGGGACTACAGGCGCCCACCACCACGCCCGGCTAATTTTTTTTTTTGTATTTTTAGTAGAGACGGGGTTTCACTGTGTTAGCCAGGATGCCCGCCACCACGCCCGGCTAATTTTTTTTTTCTTTTGTATTTTTAGTAGAGATGGGGTTTCACTGTGTTAGCCAGGATGGTCTTGATCTCCTGGCCTCGTGATCCACCCTCCTCGGCCTCCCAAAGTGCCGGGATTACAGGTGTGAGCCACTGCGCCCAGCCCCGATAATAATTTAACTCTTTTAACCATTTGCCAATCAGAAAATCTTTAAATACCCCTATGACCTGGAAGCTCCTGTTTTGAGTTATCCCACATTTCTGGCCTGAGCCAACATGTATTTTACATGTATTGACTAATGTCTGTCTGTGTCTGCCTGTAACTTCTACAATGTACAAAATCAAGAGCACTTGAGACTGTGCCTCGGACCTTGATCACTCACATTTGGCTCAAAATAAACCTCTTTAAATATATCATTTATATTTAAATTATATTTAATGTCATTATATTAAATATATATAATTTAATGACATTATATTTAATGTCAATGAAAATTCTTTTTCATTGACATTAAGAAACAAATATTTAATAAATTATACCATATACCCTCACATACAAACATACACAATTGTCAAGATGTAAACATATTTATATTAAGGGAGGAAAGCACTGATTGAATAAAATAAATTGTTTCTAGTTTCTAGTTACCGGTTCTGGAAAAGAAAAAAAAAATTACAAAGTAGTAAACCAAAGTAAATGCTATAATATATATTTCAGAAGAGATTATTGACTTTTGACTTGAGAGACTTAAAAATTAGACACAGTGCAGATGCTATCATAGCTGAAGTATTAATTTAATTAAATAAATCATACAAAAAACATATGTTAAAAATTGATTTGCCTTTATGGATAGCACTTAGAAAAGTTAGTATTGACAACTAAAATGAGTAACTGAGGCATATATCTCAATCACTGAGTTTTATTAAGTCAGCTTTACGGTACATCTGGGAAAGGTTTAGTATTTATAAATTTCCTACAGGGACCAAAGGTATGTAGCAGAAGGGGCAGGTAGGTGATAAGGTGAATAGTTACATTCCTGTGAGACTTTAGTTAATACCCAGTAAATGTACATTTTACATAAGTTAAGTGAATGTCTGCAGAGAAGAGAGTAAAGGAAGAGTCAATTATACAGATATCTCTGAGTGGATAGAGGAATGAGTCTTGTCTTTGTTTTGCACCTGGTAAGATAATCGAATAGACATTACTTTTAGGAGCTAGACTTAGATGGTAGACCTAAATTTATAATTAGTATGCCCTTTTTTATGGGAGGCCAGCAAATACTTTGCTTAGAAATAATCTGTGGAGGCAGTGCTTGGCAGATACCAGAGACCTTTTACCTTTCCATGGAGATCTGGCTGATGCCTAATGATAGCAACAGATTTGCTTTTGGAAGAGGGTGTTGCAATGACTTCACTTTCAGGCTTAACCTTCCCTTTTCCATAAGAACTTTGGAGATCACTGAGATTTTAAATTTTCCTTTACAGTATGTATTAGTCTGTTTTCACATTGCTATAAAGACATACCCAAGATCAGGTAATTTATAAAGAAAAGAAGTTTAATTGACTCACTGTTATGCATGGCTGAGGAGGCCTCAGGAAACTTATAATCATGGCAGAAGGTGAGACAGAAGCAAAGGCACATCCTACATGGTGGCAGGTAACAGAGCGTGAATGAACAAAGCGGGAAGAGCCCCTTAGAAAACCATCAGATCTCATGAGAACTCACTCATTATCATGAGAACAGCATGTGGGTAACCACCCCTATGATCCAATCATCTCCCTCTACATTCAGCCCTCAACATGTGAGGATAATGGGGGTTACAATTCAAGATGAAATTGGAGTGGGGACACAGCACCAAACCATATCATAGTATAAAGTCCTAAATTTGGACCAAACATTTTTTTTTATTTGTCTTTCTTTCTTTTTTTTTTTGTTTTTGAGACAGTCTCGCTCTGTTGCCCTGGCTGGAGCACAGTGGCGCCATCTAGGCTCACTTCAACCTCTGCCTCCTGGGTTCAAGTGATTTTCCTGCCTCAGCCTCCTGAGTAGCTGGGACTACAGGCATCCACCACCACACCCAGATAATTTTTGTAATTTTTTAAATTAGAGACAGGGCTTTGCCATGTTGGCCAGGCAGGTCTTGAACTCAGGACCTCAGGTGATCCACCCGCCTCAGCCTCCCAAAGTGCTGGGATTACAGGCATGAGCCACTGCACCCGGCCTAGAAAAATAATTTTAAAGGTCAAGATAATAAAAAGTGACAATGCTTTGAAATGGCAAAAATTTGGAAAAGGATAATTCCATTGGTCGTTGGAGCAGTGTATGAATAGTAAAATTTGATGCTTTGATGTCAAACAATATTTTTACAAATGCTAAAGTAAATGTCATTTTTAAGTGCAAGATATTATCACTATCAACTTACATGATATCAAAAATTTGAAAAAATAAAAATCACCAAGTCAAGAAATTTAGAATACAGAAGTAGGGACTATTGGTGACAATAAGGAATTAAGAAATTGTAGTACTCTATAGAATTTGTACCTCTTCAATAAAATGTGCCTAAAAAGTTGAAACTCAATTGGCCAGGTGCGGTGGCTCATGCCTGTAATCCCAGCACTTTGGGAGGCCGAGACAGGCGGATCACGATGTCAGGAGATTGAAACCATCCTGGCTAACAAGGTGAAACCCCGTCTCTACTAAAAATACAAAAAAATTAGCCAGGCATGGTGGCAGGCACCTGTAGTCCCAGCAACTCGGGAGGCTGAGGCAGGAGAATGGCATGAACCCGGGAGATGGAGCTTGCAGTGAGCCGAGATCACGCCACTGCACTCCAGCTTGGGCGACAGAGCAAGACTCTGTCTCAAAAAAAAAAAAAAAAAGTTTGAAACTCAATTTTTTAGACTATAATTTTACCATATACAATGCAGATCAAATTTCACTCATGTGATACTATTTTATACATTCTAATCTAAATTTAAAATTAATACAAGACCAACATCCCCCAAAATGGGCTCAATATATGCACAATAGCTCACATACAAATATATGCAATTGCCTCTTAAATATGTGAATATGTGCCCAGATTTCTTATAAAACTATAACTGTAAGTCAAAATTACAAGGAGATACATATTCACATCTTCCAGATTGGCAAAAAGTTGTGTTTGAAACTCTTCTAATTTGATGAGACTGAAGAAACAGCCAATTGTTTAAAATATAAAATAGTATGATTTCTATGGAAGAGGTAAAAGAAAGGTAATGTAAAATTACTGACTTAGCCTGGAATTTTCAGAAAATCCTAGTAATTTTGCTCCTGAAGCAAATTCTTATTTGGTTACTTGAAACCCAGGGCACTCAGGATTAAGACAAAAGAAGGATAGAGAATTCAGATGATCATTAAAATACTAGAATTGACTTCCTGAGAAAAGTCAGAAAGAGCCACACATACTAGGTTTTTCAGCCATGTAGGATGTCTTCAAGTAACTTCTACTCAGAAGCTATGCCTGAAATCAGTACATGGGAGGTAGAAAAGAAAGAAATTTATAAGTTTAACTCTTTCCTGTCTTCTAATTTCCATGGTCAAGATGCATCCTGTGGAGTGATAACTCTTCTGCAATTTGAAGTTGTATTAGTGGGTCCCTTTGATCACCAGTCAGGAAGTCAGTTCCCATGTCCTTTAGGATTCCTTCCCTTCAGGCAACAAAGATTCCTGGCATTGGCTGACCATCCTACCTGCAGCTAATAAACAGGGTTCGGCACCCATGGAAAGCTACTTGTTTGGACCACATTGTCCTGTAAGCTGAGACACGGTAAGCAGCAGAGGGTTTAAGTGAACTGTGGGAATCTGAAGGGGCACATCAAAATTGTGAAAATATACAATCAGATGTACATTCACAACACAGATCCAATTGTTTATTCACATTATAACCATCCTCCATGGAACAACATAGGGTCACTACTGGATATACCCACTCTTTCCTAAGAGAACACATATACATCCAATCAATAAAGAGTGCCTTTCCAGGTAGCTGTTAAGTCACAATTCCCTGGAAACCCTAAGATTATAGGAAAACAAAAGTACAGTCTCTGCTGCCTCAGCCTTTCCAAGGCTGTATTAAATATTCATCTCTCTCATCCACCAAAACCATTCAAATGTCCCTTACCTTTTGTCAATACTTTGGCTGGTTTACTTTGCCTAGTGGGGAGACCAAAGTCTTCAATGACTAAATAGTCTGAACTCCTAATATTCCTTCCATTTTTGGTATTTTAATTCTTCTAAGTGCCCAGTGACATTAATTATTTGATAGGGAACACTAAACACACCTAAGTAAATGTCCTCAACTTCAGAATACTTCTTGTTTTCATTGTGTGGTAAAAACCTTAGTTATTCTTGGTAATGAGGATTGATTATTTTAACTAGAAAATGACTTTCTTTTCTTTGCCTGCTTGTCCACCATCATGAAAAGCCAAAGTATCCAAGTGTTGTACTTCTTCAAGATCAATAAATCGCTTACTCTGTCCTCTTATGTAGCTGTCCTTCCCTGCCATGAACCAGTATCGATAAACCTGCAGATCCCAAGTTCTTAAAAATGGGAAGTCAAAATTCTATAAATGGATAACTGAGTTCAACAGTGAGCTAAGCTAATAATTCCTACCTACTCTCTTTGGTGTATAGAGCCATCTAGAATAGCTATTGGAGACACAATGCAATATAGTGGTTTTAAGTTCAATACATCTATCTCATTCTAGAAGACAGCACAAAGCTCAAACTCTTCTTCCTCCCTAAGGCTTCATCTCTCTGGCTAGATGTTTCCAAATTATAATATATAGAAAATGAATTCTACCATCAGGAGTCTATTATTACTTCTCCTTTGACATAAAGTGTCTCTTTCTTTCTGAGAAAATGCTGTGGCATATTCTGTTGATAGGTAAGGCATTTTGTAAGACATCAGTATACCGTATATTGATTCCAGTTAGGAAGAAATACTATCATATTCACAGAGGTGCCAAACTAAAGCCTCGATATTTGTCTCAGTTTCAGTTTGGTTGGTCACTGAGCAGTAGCAATAGGTGCAGAGCTACTTTATCATCAGCTCATTGCACAGGCACAGGTATAGGCTGGCTGGCTGGTACTTCCTGCTTGTTGAGTGTGAACTCCTCACTGAATACTTCCTGATGGGCATTGGTTGAAGCCATAAAGATCGTTACTTATGTATACTTCAACAGCTCTATTTATATAACTTTTCCCGAGAACTCCTGGCTTAGCTAATCAGTCTTGATGAGGGAGTCCTACGTAGCTTACTCACTCTATCTTTTGGCCTCTTGGAATTTTCAGAAGTAATATTTTGGGGGTTTTTGTTTGTTTGTTTTTGGGTTTGTCACTAGATGGCAATCACAAATGCACTTCTGTCATGTCATAAACCAGGGACATTTGGGTGATTTGAGGATACATAATATATTCTATAACAAACTATGTGCAATAAAATTAACATTTGAAAATTATCTCATTTAAGGTCATGAAATGAGCTACCAAAAAGCCCAACATCATGTACATCATCACAACTCAACTAATTCTCAGCACAGACAGTTTTCTTGTAATTTTGCACTGCCCCCAAAAATCCTAAAGTCTCAATTAAAATAAACTTTAACACCATGTTGATATACAGGTTCAAGTTGAATTAACTTTATAAGTTTTGAATCACTAAAACCTAATTCTATGTTTGAGGCTTGTTGAACATGTTTGAATACTTAACATACTCTCAACTAATTTCTTTCTGGCTTTTAGTCACTAATTAGTAAAGAAAATGTTTACATTTTTACAATCAGTAAAGGAATTGTTGACATTTAATTTTGATTATAATGTCACCATATATAGTAGGTAAAATTTTTTCTAGTTTCTTCAATCCACTGGAGTAATATTATGCTTTAATTATGGCTTCATGCTGAGCAGAACTTAATTCCTAGCCCTCAAAATGTAGATTATTTCCAAACACCATTTTTATACATATTTTTTAAATGAAAAACAAAAAAAAAACAGACATGTGAGTTCAATGGTTTCTTAAAAAACGTCTTTTTGGGAAAGATGTAATTGACTAAAATGTAATCCATGAATTTTAATAGGTTTATGGAATGGATCTTAGCCTTCAACTCAACCACAAATAATATGCTATGTCTGCAGCATAAACTCACAATCATTAGACAATATTGGCAGTTTATAACAAAGAGTGGGGAAAGAAGGGCCTATATAAATCCATACATAGGATCAATAAAGATAAAGCCACCTAATTTGTATTTTGAACTGATACTTATAAGACGTTTTGAGTAATAAAATGTACTGTAGTATGTGTATATCTATATAGATACAGATATAGATAGATACGGTTTGTCTCTGTGTCCCCACCCAAATCTCATCTCAAATTGTAATCCCCAGGTTCAAGGGAGGGACCTTGGTGGGAGGCGATTGGATCATGGGGATGGTCTTCCCCCCGTGCTGTTCTTGTGATAGTGAGTGAGTTCTCATGAGAGCTGATGGTTTTAAAAGTTTCTGGCAGTTTCTCCTTCACTCTCACTCTCTCCTGCTGCCTTGTGAAGACATGCTTTGCTTCCCCCTCGACTTCTGGCATGATTGTAAGTTTCCTGAGGCATCCACAGCCATGTGGATCTGTGAGTCAATTAAACCTCTTTCCTTTGTAAATTACCAAGTCTTAGGTAGTATCTTTATAGCAGTGTGAAAAAGGACTATCACATATATATTCTATATTTTTATATTCATCAAAGTATAAAAATATTATCTAATTAATAACATTATGAACATAAAAATTCATTACAACATAAACTTTAGCACATACAGAACTACCTTTAGCTTACTAAGTTTATTTATTTCACATAGATAAAATGTATAAGTATCTTTCTTATAGATAAGATGATACCAAAGAAGTAAGAAACAAGTAATGTAACTTTGATAAAAAGTAACTTTAAAGAAAAGTAAATTAATGTAATTTCAAAATCCACAAGAACATTTATATTCATTTTAAATAATTCTATAATTCAGAGTTATTACATAAATGCTAAAACTAAAATCTCTGATGGGTTAAAATTAACATTTTTTGGTTATGCATCTATTTTTCTGTCATAGTACCTCAGAAAGTTGAGTGACTTGAGTTCAATCAGTATAGAAATGTGCATAAGTCTTTCTAAGGAAATAAAATTGATATTAATTTATGGCATCTCAAAAGAGCGACTGCACAAAATCATAATGAACCTAGAAATACTGCTGATCCAAAATGATAGATTATAATATATCTAGCTGACAGTGCAGAAACCAGGTCATCAGGAATAAATATATTATAAGGAGAACCTTGAACAGCTTAATAAAATCCTGTAAATCACAGTCTCAACACGATCTACCCTGTCAGCAGCAGCAGAGATAGACACATTGGTAAATGTGATCAAGCTTAAATTCTTACAAGAAACATGTTGAAAAAGATTAAAACCCATGGTACTGAGATTTCCTTTTGAAAATTTTAGAGCCAAAGTTATATATGGAAATAATTATTTATCTTTACAGAATATGTAAATGTTGACACTAAGATGTTAATTATTTACAAAATTTTTGCATCAGAATTTCTAAATGTATGTGTATGCAATCTGTGAATAACTTATCTATTTATTCACATATGACTCTGTAAGATGTTTTGTGATGAGTTTGGGTGCCCAGGGATTGTGAGTCTGAAACAGTGTTGCCCTGAGAAGAGAACTGCATACCATCTGCACATTTGTTGAATAAATGCTTGAATCAATAACTTAATAAATTAATATATAAAAGCAGAAAATATTTTGCAGAGAATTTTTCAGATCTAATTTTTTAAATCACATGTTATTCAGAAACTTCAAATAACATACATAATTATCAGTTTTGTTTCCATTTTCCCTACTTTTAAAACTACCTTTTTACATGAGTTCCTCAGGGATCCTCCAGAATAAAGAAGACACTCAGGTACCCTCATCCCTTTTATAATCAGAGAATCTTTACTTTTTTTCTTTTTTCTTTTTCATCCATCCTCCCTCCCTCCCTTCCTCCCTCCCTCCCTCCCTCCTTCCTTCCTTCCTTCCTTCCTTCCCTCCTTCCTTCCTTCTTTTATTGACAAAGTCTTGTTGTATCACCCAGGCTGGAGTACTGTTGTGGTCACAGCTCACCGCCTCCTCAAACTCCTGGGCCCAAGAGATTGTCCTACCTTAGCCTCCAGAGTAGCTGGGACCATAGGTGCATGCCAGCAAGACTGGCTAATTTTATTCTATATTTTGTAGAGACAGGATCAGACGTGGCTCAGAACGGTCTTAAACTCCTGGACTCAATTGATCCTTCCACCTCAGCCTCCCAAAGTGCTGGGAAAAAAGGCATAAGCCACTGCACCTGGCCCCATCTTCACTTTTATCTAATTTAGATGTGGGCTTTCAAAATATTCCATTAACAGAATGTTTTCCCTACTTAAAGACTTCCTATTGAATTTTGAATTTTCTGTCACCATATATATAATCAATTATTTATTTGTTTATTACTTCTCTATTCTAAACTTCCCTTAATATTGATGATGACATATAATATTTGTCATCTTTTCTCTTGGAAACTTCAGTAGGTCATTTTAAAAATATTTACTTTTTGCAACTCTCTGACATAACATAAGCTATCATTTGCAATGTTCAATTTATTCACGTGGTGTTTATATGTTTAGCATTCTTTTTTTTTTAAACCCAGGCATAAGCATTTCAAACTATTTTCTTAACTTCCAGACATAATTCACATACTTCCCCTTCTTTCTTACTTACAGTAAGAAGAAACGTTTTTCTTATTAAACATTTCAGATAAAATTTACATTACATTCCTAGCTCTCCTCGCTGTATACTTGGATGAATTTCAGCTTTAAAAAAATCATATTTTGTTACTAAATGAAGATAAATATGCCCATCTCAGGCCAATGACTCCACATTCATCATAAATGTTAGGGTTCTTCAGATTTTGGTCGTTTTTCCCTATATCTTTTCAAGTTGTATGTCATCCCAGGCGTTCTTATCCAAATCATTTTTGTTTTGCCACTTCCTATAGGTTGATAAAATGCACTGCATTTCTTTCCAATTCCTTTTAGTTTTTTCTGAATTCTAGGACCACATACAATTGCCTAATTAATCTCAATTTGGATGTCTTGTGTACATAAAAATATCAGCATGTCTAAAAGTTAACTCATCATTTTTCATGTAAATATGAACTTCTTTCCACTTTCAATGCCTGTGTGAACTTAGTATTTATCAATCTGTTACTTTTCGTTTCTTCCAGATGTGAACTGGCTAAGCAGTTTTCACTTTGTAAACAAGAACGACCACAAATTCCTGACATAGCCTTGAATTTTTTTGAATGTCCAATCTATTTTCAAAATTCTAAAAACTAGTTTTTCTAGGTCACAAAAACTTCCTGGGTTTAACATGCTTTCCTAAAGAAAATTCAATTTTCTAGGGTAGGTTTGATTTTCCTGGATTCACTCTAGAAGGCTCCCTCTCTCATTTAGGTAATCGGTCTCAAAATTCTACACAACTATATAATTTCATCAAGTGTTCCCACCACATGAAATGCAGTTAATAAATGTTCTCCTAGTGCCATATTTTCTTATGCCTCTTAATCTCTGAAAATAGCACACCTACTTTCTGTCATTGCTTTATCCTTATCCAAAATAAAACTCCCCTCTGGGAAGTAGTTTCTAAATGCTCTCTTTCCTACGGCTATTTTAATGCCTACTCTAATTTTATATACACATACATATTTACACACACATATACACACACACATATATATACATATATGTATATATAAATTATAATGTCTATCTCACTGTATTGTAACTGGTATTCACTTGTTTCCTCTGCCAGTACCTAGAGGCTGGATAATGTGGGTTTGATTCCTGGGCTCAAGGCTTGTGACATATCAGACTCCTAATAAATGAGCTTAACAACTGAATGTATAAATTGCTAATATGTAATATAATTGTTAATATCCCATCCCTTTCCAGGAGCTTTTTCCTGTATTTGCCCTTTCTCTCTGCTGCCTCTTTATTATTTCCCTTTCCACAAAATCATTATCATAGAAACAATATAGACTATTGAGGTGAATGGGTAAAACTGGTAGCCCAGCACTTAGAATCAAGTTTTATCTTCTTCTGGCATAAATTGCAGAACTAAGTCAGGTAGCTCCTACCAATTAGCTGCATCTTGTGAGATTTGGAAACAGCTCTAGTGATGTCTTCTTGCTGTTTCAGCTGTTGCTGCCAGGCAAGCAAAGTCATAGAGTAATTGCAGATTTTGACAGCAGAGTTTCATATATGTCATTAGCTCAGTGAGTGTAACGATTCAATGGAGAGGTGATGACAGTGGCTGAATACCACTTTCCTGAGGCTGAAGCTGACTTCATTGCTGGCAAGTAATGAATGCAACATTGGTGGTGGCTTCTTGATCCTTGAATACCAGCTACCTGGCAGGCAATAGTTCCAATGAAGGATGCACGGTTCCCTGTATCGACTATGGGGCTGTCCAGAAAGAAAATTCACCCCCATATGTTTCAAATTATCAACCTTTAATGGATTACTTACAGAAGTGTGGTCAGTAGTGGAACACAAAAGGAATGTTCATGCCCTTGTGAAATCCTCTCTCCTTGAGTATGGGCAAGACCTAGTGACTATCTTCAAATGATTAGAATATGGCAAAAGTGATGAGATATTATTTATAAGGTTAGTTTATTAAAAATGTGACTTCCATATTGCTGGCACTCTCTCTCATGCGAGAATTCTCTCTCTGGCTCTCCTTGAGTATTTGCTCTGATGAAACAAGCTAGGGAGGTCCATGTGATCAGGAAGTGAAGGTGGACTCTGGCTAACAGTAAGGAACAGAGCCCCTTAGTCCAAATGTCTTGAGGAACTGAATGCTGAATTACAAGAATGAGCTTAGAAGTGGATACTTCCTGGCTGGGTGCGGTGGCTCACGCCTGTCATCTCAGCACTTTGGGAGGCCAAGGCAGGTGGATTGACTGAGGTTGGGAGTTCGAGACCAGCCTGACCAACATGGAGAAACTCTGTTTCCACTAAAAATACAAAATTAACCGGGCGTGGTGGTGCATTCCTGTAATTCCAGCTACTCGGGAGGCTGAGGCAGGAGAATTACTTGAACCCAGGAGGCAGAGGTTGCAGTGAGCCAAGATCGTGCCATTGCACTCCAGACTGGGCAACAAAAGAGAAACTCTGTCTCAAAAAAAATAAAATAAAAGGTGGATCCTTCCTTAGTTAAGTCTTCAGAAGAGACTAAAGCCCTGCTCTTGCTTCTCTAGTTCTTTTAATTGCGATGTTAGGGTGTTGATTTCAGATTTTTCCTGCTTTCTCACTGACATTTGGATTGTAGCCTATGAAAGACCCTGAAAGGAAGGAACCAGTTAATCCATGATGGGATTCTTCACTCTCAAAAACATTTAGGTACTAAATGTTGTCTTAATCCACAAAATTTTGCAGTATTCATTACACAGAAAAGAAATTAGAGTATTATATCCTCTTCATACAAGAAACACTCAGTAAATATTAGGATAACCATATAAAATTGCCACCTTTGTCAGTCAAAAATCAGTGTTCATTTATATATAAAGTTTAATCCATATTTGTTGAATGGAGTAATAAGGATCTTGCAGGAATATAAATAAGGACAAAAATATTAAAAATGTTTACTGTATTTAAGTAGTTTAAAGTAGTGAAGATAGAACCAGTATAATTTGTCTTTTTCTTTTTAAGTGAGTCCAGCGCCGGGCGCGGTGGCTCACGCCTGTAATCCCAGCACTTTGGGAGGCCGAGATGGGCGGATCACGAGGTCAGGAGATCGAGACCTTCTTGGCTAACATGGTGAAACCCCCTCTCTACTAAAAATACAAAAAAATTAGCCTGGCGTGGTGGCGGGGGCCTGTAGTCCCAGCTACTCAGAAGGCTGAGGCAGGAGAATGGCGTGAACCCAGGAGGCGGAGCTTGCAGTGAGCCGAGATCGCGCCACTGCACTCCAGCCTGGGCAACAGAGGGAGGCTCTGTCTCAAAAAACAAAAATTAAAAAAAAAAAAAAAAGTGAGTCCAGGAAGCGCTGTTTTGAATTGTCACTTTGCCACTTTCTTACAAAGAGATATTTGCTGGAAAAGTTGGCTCTCAAAAATTTGTTTTCCTTTTCCTTTCTTACATCTTAAGAAAAATTGAATAGTTCTAATTATTTTAGAGAATTGTTGTGATAAAATGATAAAAACTAGAGAGCTTATCTAGCTGTCTGCCTAACAGTGATTTTCAGCAAGTGCTTCTTCCCTTCCCAAGGAAAAATATTACTAATTTTACTAAGTATTATAGATATTTGCAGATTTTCCCATATTTTCTGGAAGCTGAATAAAAAAAGCAAACAAAATTGTTGGTATAGATACATTTAAAATATATATAAATGATCTTTTAATACAATATAGTTTTTTACATTAGTTATTTATAATTTTATTTGAAGTCATTTATGTTTGTATCATCAAGACTATACCGTTAAGGAGTTGTTTAATCAATCAATTAGATTTACGGTAAGTATTCCCAGATGGAATCATATTTCAAGGAAAATGATAACCTTAGCTTTGAATAAAAGCCAGATATTTAGGTTAAGAACTAGACCTTTCAGTAACAGCTTCTATGAAATATTAAAAAGGTAGAAGACATTTGTCTTAAATGTCAAGTACGAGATGTACATTTTAGAAACAAATCTTGGTGATTTATAGCTTTTTTTCTATTTTTTATTAACGCAGATATATTAGTAGTTTAAACTTTTACAAGTAATAAAGGAAAATGCTGGAATAAGAGAGAAAATTACTTTAAATGTTTTTAAGAATGCTACTGGAGACATTTTAATAATAGCTATCCAAGTGGAAACTGAAAAATAAAAATTTAGGAAATATTTCCTTATGTTTGGAGAACATAGGAAGTGTGTCTGTATAATATATATGTAAGGTCTCATTTAATGAAGACGAATAAACACATAAATTAACTGGAAATGATTTCAACTAATATTGACAACTTTTGTTTAAACAATTGATTTTCCATAACAAATATTTAAGTGTTTTACATATTAAAATATATGTCCAACTTATTTTATTCAATTTAGTTGATTCCAGATACATCTTTTTTCAGTAGACATATAGATAATTAAAATATATAGAGTTGTGGTTTTAAATAGATAAGCAATACAAATTATTGCCTGAATTCAATTCAGTTATAAATGAAAACCTCTATTCATGGAATTGAAGTGCATTTTGTTATTCATAAACTAAATATATTAGTGTGGTATGAACACAGGAGATGTATCAAGAATGAAAACAAAATAAGATTAAGACATGTTTGTGGAAAAGTGAATCTTAGAATACTAGAAAATATTAATATTATGGACTTATATACAATTGTCATTTTCTTCATTTAATTATAAAAAATATAAGGCTGGTGATAAAGTTTATATATTTATAAGAAAGAAGTTATATATTTATAAGAAAGAAGGAAGAAAGAAAGAAAAAGAGAGAGGGAGGAAGAAAGAAAGAAAGAATTTACTATTAAATATCCCACTGTTATGTTTATAAATTCTTGCACAGCCAAAAGCTGGTACATTTGCTGATCATCCATGACAAAATGTTGGAAGAAAAAGACATGAAACATGAGTTACAAATGTCAATATTTGGGGATGAGAGTTATCAACTGTCTTCATAAGAAATCTGTGGAATCCTAACATTCCTAACCTTAAGATATAAAACAAAAGTTAAATAAATTTTTTTCATTTAATTTTTGTGTACCAGTCACCTATGTTAATTTAAAAAAATCACTGCTATAAAATGCACATTCTGCAACACTTCGAATGGTATACTTCTCAACATACTCTAGATAAAAACATTGAAATAATAATACAAGACCTTAACAAAAATCTCCTTTTTATTTTATTTTTATTTGTTTATTTTTTGCTGGGAAATGGTAGAGGCTAGAGACATATATAAATATTCCTTAAATTAAATAAATGCAGTTTATAAAACAACAAGTTATATTTCTGGTCAACTGTAGGACTGTGCCTATTCTTTAAAATAAGTACTAATTAATCTTTCTCTTTGTTTTTCAACTTCTTCGCTTATTACAGATTGTATTTATTTTCCCCAATTATTTGCTTCTTCCTTTTGGGAAGCATGATTATACACATTGATCTATTGTCATATGAGGAGTTGGACAACTCCTTCTTTCTTTCTTTCTTTCTTTCTCTTTCTTTTTCTTTCCTTTCTTCACTTCTTTTTGTCTTTCCTTTCTTTTTTTTCCCATTCTTTGTTTTCCTCTCATATAAACCCAGAAACAATAACTCTATACTGCTGTTAGTACCACCTTATTAACCTAATATATCAAAGGGGTAGACATTGTATCTATATAGAAATTTCTATATAGATACAATGTCTATATGATGCTTCTGTGATCAATTATTAAATTAATGTCAGAGATCACACAGTTAGAAATTAATTTTTAATAGGAAGGCTTATGTTTTATAAAAAAAGATCTACAATTATTCTTCTTAGAAAACATTGGCTTTTAAACAATTTTTGTTAAGTTCAGCAGAAAATTTAAAAATAAAATACTAATTTGTAAGCAACCAAATTTTAATCTTCAAAATAATGTTTTTGAACTTGCTCACAATTTTATGGGAAGAATTACATATATGTGTATGTAACAATATATATGTATGTAATATATATGTAATTCTATATATATATATATATGAGAGAAAAAGAGAAAGGAGAAAAAGAAGAAAAAAGAAAGTAAAGAAAGAAAGAAGTGTATAAATTTTAAAAAATCACACACTAGGTATTTTAAATCACCTTCTTTAAGAATATATATTAGTGATTCAACAACGTGGTGGCCCATGAAAATGCTCCACTCATATCTCTTGCTGTGAGGCCACACTTCTGGAACTGTCACCATATTTGCATTAAGAACATGATTTCCAGACCGAGCCTGTAGTCTTGGTACTAAGTGTGGTAGTCATTGTACAGTTGAGCCTGACATGGTACATGCACCCCTGACTCTAAAAAGCACAGCTTGGGACTTCCCATGGACTTCGATAAAACTTCCTCAGATCTAAATTACAGTCTAAGATACTTCCTTTCCAATTTTTTTCTTTCTATGCTTCATTTTGCACGTTTCTTCTCTTCATTAATCTCTGATGCCTCTCCTTGTGTACTTCTCCTTAATCTTTTGCAGGTATCTTCCTGTGATGATGAATTTTATATGTGAACGTAATTGGTCTAAGAGATGCCCAGATAGTGGTAAAACAGTATTCTGGGTATGTCTATGAGGGCATTGTTGGAAGAGATTAGCATTTGAATTGGTGGACTAAGTTAAGAAAATGACTCTCTCCAATGTGGGTAGTAATCATCCAATCCATTGAAAGACTAAGTAGAACTAACAGGCTGAGGAAGGACAAATAATTTGTTCTCTGTGCTTAAACTTGGACATCTATATTCCCCTCTACAGAGGCAACTTTGACGTTGCCTCTCTTGGTTCTTAGGCCTTCAGACTTGGACTGGGACTTTCTCCATTGGCTCCCCTGATTCTGAAGCTTTGGGGTTTCTACTGGAACCACAGCATCAGCCCTTCTGGGCTTCTGGCTTGACAATGGTAGATCGTAAGACTTCTCAGCCTCCATAATCATGTGAGCCAATCCCTCGTAATACATTTCTCTTTCTCTTTCTCTCTCTCTCTCTCTCTCTGTGTGTGTGTGTGTGTGTGTGTATCTGTTTCTCTGGAGAACCTTTACTAATACATTTCCTCAGTAAAATCCTTTCACACCAAATCCCCTTCAGAGGACCTCAGCTGGCTCAAGTACCAGTAGAGGCTCAAGAAAAAGACAATAGGACAGGACTTAGGGATTGGATTACTTATCACCTGGCAGGTATATGCTATCTTGTGTGGTAGGTGGGACATAGATTGTCCCCAGAGCAAGATGGGGGGGTCCAATTGCTTATGCTTTCACCTGTAGTGACCAGAGAAAATGCTCCAGTAAGGGTCTGCCATTGAGGTTGCAATGATTCAGGATTTTTAAAGATTTGGGAGATCAATGCCTTCAAGGAATGATGAGCTGAATTTTTTGTTAGATGTATTGATGCTCTGCAGAGAGATAATGAGAAAGTAGGGCCATTGTTATAACTTCTGAGAACCTCGGATATGGGAAGGGACATCTAGACTGGATATCTAGATAGATGCGATGAAAGCACCTGTCTCTGCTGAATATCTTGAACCTTAAGAGTTTGTGGGGATCATGATTTTCCACCCAACCCTAGTGAGAGCTAGGGCTTTGTCAGGCTCTTAGTGTAGAGGCCTCTCTCATCAGGGCAAATGTGATCACTTCCCTGCCTCAAGACCTTGATAACTAGCATTAGATTTCAACACAATCCAGGTGGGAATGTGCTAGGCCTGATTAGAAAGGAGAGAGACCACTCAGTAAAGAAACTATAATGATTAGCTAGCAGTCCCGGCAAGAGTAAGGAGAGAAGCCCAGGGATGGCATTTTAAGAGTACTTGATTTATATAGCTTAAAATGTAATATTTAATAAGTAAAAACGTGTCTCAGGACATGAGGATTTAATGTTCAGGAAGGGACTCCAGGGAATAGGACAAGCTCACTGCTCTAAAAGAGTGACGAAAATAAAGCTACATGCTGAGCAACACGCACGTGGCCGAATTGTCATGGCAGAATACAGAGGCTGAAGGAAGAGGAAATGCGGGTTGAAATAATTACATGAGTGTGGGAGAATTAGGAGAGTGTAGATAATGTTTCAAAGGAAAACTCAGAGTGTATACACTCTTCACCTAGGGTATCAAGGAGGACACCAGCATCACTAAAAGTTCAGTGGTGACTCTTCTATGTATGACTGGAGTCAACGGTAGGAAAGGCAGTAACAATGCTGAAATTATTAATATCTGTAGGGATTTTGGGCTCCAAAATAATAGAAGTGAGGGGGAAATTATCACACAGTAGAAGTCCTGAGGGCACAACTATGTAACAAATGCCAAGGTCAGAAAGATAGCTAAGGTGCATGACCCTGTCACAGATAGTGGTAGAAATGGTTAATTGAGTATGCTGTTCCTAGGGGCAAAAGATATAGGCAACAAAGTACCAATTACTATCTACGATAAGAAAATGGCAGAAATAGAGGAGCAGGAAGATGAAGGTGGTCACTTCAATAAAAATTCATGATTCCTTGCTCAGTTCCCAGAATTGTGTCAATTATCAGAAATAAAGCCTATTTACTGGTGACAGCCAGATAGCTAGGAAGAAGGGTTTTCACAAGACCACAATAAGTATATTTTCCTTCAGTTCTTCTCCTATGGGACCTATGGTCATTTATTCAGGCAACTGCAAATTGAACAAAGAGGCATAAGCAAACATTTTCATCATTTTTGGAAACAGATATTCCCAGAAGCCCAATGTGCTTTCATAGCTTATGGGGCCAGGTAATAAATGGAACCCTGGCTTAAGCCTTACTTACAATATGCACATTGGGCCTTTGGATCCCCAGAGGTCAATTCCCCAGTTCTCCAGTGTATAATTGGAATTTATATATTGTGAGTTGAAGTAACTCTTGGATAGAATCCTTGACCTGTAGGTTAAGAGCTATTATAGTGGGGAATGCCAAATGGAAACTTCTCAAAGTCTTCCCTTACCTAGCCAAGATAGAGTATCAAAATTTTATTTCATCTCAGAGGATATAGCAAAGATTAGTGGTGCCATTAAAGGCCTAAATAATTTGGAAATTTTTGTGCCTCTCATATTTTCATTTCATTGGTCAATCTGGCCCCTTTAAAACTGGCACGTTCCTGTAGCATGCATATAGAATGCCACAAGCTCAACTAAATTGTAATCTGATCAGAGTCTATGTTTCAGATGTGGTGTCATTTCCAGAATCATTAAGATGGCCTCATGCCTATGTTATTTAAACATTTCGTTGTACATCCTTGCACCTTTTAACTATAAATGGTCAGGTATAGCAATGCTGGCTTGAGAAAGGCATTTATTACTCTGACATCCGTACATTAGTAGGCAGGTATGAAAGTGGCTTATGTATATAAATAGGTTACTGTTATTTTCTTCTGAAGTTTAAGTTGTCTATCTTCAGTTTGCAGGGTTTTAAAAAAGCACAACTTAGTTTTTGGTGACTCCAAATTAGGAAAAATGAAAAGGAGAAGGAAAAAAATTGAAAGCATTATTTTAAGGCTTGTAGCCAAGAAAAATTAGAATTCAGTCCAAACTGTAGAAAATAATAAAAATTGTAAAAAAAACATTAGGAAAGACTAGAATCTAACAGCAGGTATACAATCATTTTGAAATTTTTTTTCTCTCTCCATTTTCCATTTTACTAAAGACAAATAATGGTAGAACTGGTTTGCTTATTATACTTGGCCTAAATATTTGTATACATTGCAGCAAGAATAATTATTTTTTTTACATAGGCTTTTAAATTGGCTCTGATGGAACTTTGTTCAATAAGAGAAATCTCAGATAAGACATTTTAAAGCCCAGCCCAGCCATGGATTGTGCCTTCAAATACCCATGAGTTGGGTGAAATTTCCTCTCCTCTTTAGGTTTCAAGACAAACCTGGGGCTTCTGCACCTGTTAGAAAGTGACATTATTTACTTGCCACAGGTCAGAAACCTTGTACAGGAACTGTGTACACAAAATATGAGGCCAGTTTATCCAAGGGCTTTATTGGCTCCATAAGTCAAGTTTGATTCCTTAAGGGAAAGCACAGCATTCCAGTAAAAGTCTTGGTAAAATAACCAGTTTCTCCAATTGTGACCTGTTACAAATGAAAACAGATCCTTATTGCACTTATGCAAATAACTGTATTGCCATAAGTTAAGAATACTAACAAGCAGTTTCCAATTCTGGAGAAATCAGGTAGAGAGAAACAAATGTGCTCCAAATTTTGTTCATAGAAATATACTAAATTGTTAAAAGCTGTCAATAGCTCAGAAGAAAAGTTTTAAGACTCTGAAAAACAAAGCAAAGGATCAGCAAACATATTAAGCAAAACGTCAAAAAGATTGGTTCAGTCCATGCAGTTAATTCCTGTTCTGCTTGATACTCATGAACATTTTCACTTTCTACAAGTCCTGAAAGTTTGTTCTCTATTTTGATGTCACAGTCTCCAAAGCTATCAGAAACCTGCATTCAGGAACACCTGTTGGAGATTCATAGCTGATTATAAAATCACTTTCTAAAGAGAACCAAAACAAGGCAACAATTGTCCATGGATGAAAAAACTTTAAGGCAGCTATAGTTAAAAGACACAATTGACAAGGAAAATTTGTTACTTCTGTGGCACACAATAATTTTAACATAACAATTATGATTACTACTGATAATGTACACTAAGTTATATCAGAATTACAGGTGTTTCCCATAATCTTGCTACACATATCAATAACATATTTATACAAATACAGCCCAGAGAAAACCAAACACCATTTCATATTTGACAATGCTTTCTGTATAACTTTTATACCAAGTAAGAAAAATTCTGTGATTTTTGGATTTCAGGGAACCTAGTGTCTTAAAAGATTAAGTTGGAAAAAGACACAATTCATAATTTGATTTTGGTAAGTTTGTCAAATATAAAAGTTTTAAAATGCTTGATATTACAAAATACGATTAAAGGTCATTGTAAAGTCATTTATTTATCCAAAACGATAATTCAAGGATTTCAAAAAAAGTGAAAACTTTCATTCTTTGAGAGAGGAGACTTAAATTTTCTAAACAAGAAGCCCTAATAAAAACAGCATGAGAGGGGAGGAGCCAAGATGGCCGAATAGGAACAGCTCCGGTCTACAGCTCCCAGCGTGAGCGACGCAGAAGACGGGTGATTTCTGCATTTCCATCTGAGGTACTGGGTTTCTCTCACTAGGGAGTGCCAGACAGTGGGCGCAGGTCAGTGGGTGCGCGCACCGTGCGCGAGCCGAAGCAGGGCGAGGCATTGCCTCACCTGGGAAGCGCGAGGGGTCAGGGAGTTCCCTTTCCGAGTCAAAGAAAGGGGTGACCGACGCACCTGGAAAATCGGGTCACTCCCACCCAAATATTGCGCTTTTCAGACCGGCTTAAAAAGTGGCGAACCATGAGATTATATCCCACACCTGTCTCGGAGGGTCCTACGCCCACGGAATCTCGCTGATTGCTAGCACAGCAGTCTGAGATCAAACTGCAAGGTGGCAGCGAGGCTGGGGGAGGGGCGTCCGCCATTGCCCAGGCTTGCTTAGGTAAACAAAGCAGCCAGGAAGCTTGAACTGGGTGGAGCCTACAACAGCTCAAGGAGGCCTGCCTGCCTCTGTAGGCTCCACCTCTGGGGGCAGGGCACAGACAAACAAAAAGACAGCAGTAACCTCTGCAGACTTAAGTGTCCCTGTCTGACAGCTTTGAAGAGAGCAGTGGTTCTCCCAGCACGCAGCTGGAGATCTGAGAACGGGCAGACTGCCTCCTCAAGTGGGTCCCTGACCCCTGACCCCCGAGCAGCCTAACTGGGAGGCACCCCCCAGCAGGGGCACACTGACACCTCACACTGCAGGGTATTCCAACAGACCTGCAGCTGAGGGTCCTGTCTGTTAGAAGGAAAACTAACAAACAGAAAGGACATCCACACCGAAAACCCATCTGTACATCACCATCATCAAAGACCAAAAGTAGATAAAACCACAAAGATGGGGAAAAAACAGAACAGAAAAACTGGAAACTCTAAAATGCAGAGCGCCTCTCCTCCTCCAAAGGAATGCAGTTCCTCACCAGCAACGGATCAAAGCTGGATGGAGAATGACTTTGACGAGCTGAGAGAAGAAGGCTTCAGACGATCAAATTACTCTGAGCTACGGGAGGACATTCAAACCAAAGGCAAAGAAGTTGAAAACTTTGAAAAAAATTTAGAAGAATGTATAACTAGAATAACCAATACAGAGAAGTGCTTAAAGGAGCTGATGGAGCTGAAAACCAAGGCTCGAGAACTACGTGAAGAATGCAGAAGCCTCAGGAGCCGATGCGATCAACTGGAAGAAAGGGTATCAGCAATGGAAGATGAAATGAATGCAATGAAGTGAGAAGGGAAGGTTAGAGAAAAAAGAATAAAAAGAAATGAGCAAAGCCTCCAAGAAATATGGGACTATGTGAAAAGAACAAATCTACGTCTGATTGGTGTACCTGAAAGTGATGGGGAGAATGGAACCAAGTTGGAAAACACTCTGCAGGATATTATCCAGGAGAACTTCCCCAATCTAGCAAGGCAGGCCAACGTTCAGATTCAGGAAATACAGAGAACGCCACAAAGATACTCCTCAAGAAGAGCAACTCCAAGACACATAATTGTCAGATTCACCAAAGTTGAAATGAAGGAAAAAATGTTAAGGGCAGCCAGAGAGAAAGGTCGGGTTACCCTCAAAGGGAAGCCCATCAGACTAACAGCGGATCTCTCGGCAGAAACCCTACAAGCCAGAAGAGAGTGGGGGCCAATATTCAACATTCTTAAAGAAAAGAATTTTCAACCCAGAATTTCATATCCAGCCAAACTAAGCTTCATAAGTGAAGGAGAAATAAAATACTTCACAGACAAGCAAATGCTGAGAGATTTTGTCACCACTAGGCCTGCCCTAAAAGAGCTCCTGAAGGAAGTGCTAAACATGGAAAGGAACAACCGGTACCAGCCACTGCAAAATCATGCCAAAATGTAAAGACCATCGAGACTAGGAAGAAACTGCATCAACTAACGAGCAAAATCACCAGCTAACATCATAATGACAGGATCAAATTCACACATAACAATATTAACTTTAAATGTAAATGGACTAAATGCTCCAATTAAAAGACACAGACTGGCAAATTGGATAAAGAGTCAAGACCCATCAGTGTGCTGTATCCAGGAAACCCATCTCACGTGCAGAGACACACATAGGCTCAAAATAAAAGGATGGAGGAAGATCTACCAAGCAAATGGAAAACAAAAAAAGGAAGGGGTTGCAATCCTAGTCTCTGATAAAACAGACTTTAAACCAACAAAGATCAAAAGAGACAAAGAAGGCCATTACATAATGGTAAAGGGATCAATTCAACAAGAAGAGCTAACTATCCTAAATATATATGCACCCAATACAGGAGCACCCAGATTCATAAAGCAAGTCCTGAGTGACCTACAAAGAGACTTAGACTCCCACACATTAATAATGGGAGACTTTAACACCCCACTGTCAACATTAGACAGATCAACGAGACAGAAAGTCAACAAGGATACCCAGGAATTGAACTCAGCTCTGCACCAAGTGGACCTAATAGACATCTACAGAACTCTCCACCCCAAATCAACAGAATATACATTTTTTTCAGCACCACACCATACCTATTCCAAAATTGACCGCATAGTTGGAAGTAAAGCTCTCCTCAGCAAATGTAAAAGAACAGAAATTATAACAAACTATCTCTCAGACCACAATGCAATCAAACTAGAACTCAGGATTAAGAATCTCACTCAAAGCCGCTCAACTACATGGAAACTGAACAACCTGCTCCTGAATGACTACTGGGTACATAACGAAATGAAGGCAGAAATAAAGATGTTCTTTGAAACCAACGAGAACAAAGACACAACATACCAGAATCTCTGGGACGCATTCAAAGCAGTGTGTAGAGGGAAATTTATAGCACTAAATGCCCACAAGAGAAAGCAGGAAAGATCCAAAATTGACACCCTAACATCACAATTAAAAGAACTAGAAAAGCAAGAGCAAACACATTCAAAAGCTAGCAGAAGGCAAGAAATAACTAAAATCAGAGCAGAACTGAAGGAAATAGAGACACAAAAAACCCTTCAAAAAATCAATGAATCCAGGAGCTGGTTTTTTGAAAGGATCAACAAAATTGATAGACCACTAGCAAGACTAATAAAGAAAAAAAGAGAGAAGAATCAAATAGACACAATAAAAAATGATAAAGGGGATATCACCACTGATCCCACAGAAATACAAACTACCATCAGAGAATACTACAAACACCTCTACGCAAATAAACTAGAAAATCTAGAAGAAATGGATAAATTCCTCAACACATACACTCTCCCAAGACTAAACCAGGAAGAAGTTGAATCTCTGAATAGACCAATAACAGGAGCTGAAATTGTGGCAATAATTGATAGTTTACCAACCAAAAAGAGTCCAGGACCAGATGGATTCACAGCTGAATTCTACCAGAGGTACAAGGAGGAACTGGTACCATTCCTTCTGAAACTATTCCAATCAATAGAAAAAGAGGGAATCCTCCCTAACTCATTTTATGAGGCCAGCATCATTCTGATACCAAAGCCGGGCAGAGACACAACCAAAAAAGAGAATTTTAGACCAATATCCTTGATGAACATTGATGCAAAAATCCTCAATAAAATACTGGCAAAACGAATCCAGCAGCACATCAAAAAGCTTATCCACCTTGATCAAGTGGGCTTCATCCCTGGGATGCAAGGCTGGTTCAATATACACAAATCAATAAATGTAATCCAGCATATAAACAGAGCCAAAGACAAAAACCACATGATTATCTCAATAGATGCAGAAAAAGCCTTTGACAAAATTCAACAAACCTTCATGCTAAAAACTCTCAATGAATTAGGTATTGATGGGACGTATTTCAAAATAATAAGAGCTATCTATGACAAACCCACAGCCAATATCATACTAAATGGGCAAAAACTGGAAGCATTCCCTTTGAAAACTGGCACAAGACAGGGATGCCCTCTCTCACCACTCCTATTCAACATAGTGTTGGAAGTTCTGGCCAGGACAATTAGGCAGGAGAAGGAAATAAAGGGTATTCAATTAGGAAAAGAGGAAGTCAAATTGTCCCTGTTTGCAGACGACATGATTGTATATCTAGAAAACCCCATTGTTTCAGCCCAAAATCTCCTTAAGCTGATAAGCAACTTCAGCAAAGTCTCAGGATACAAAATCAATGTACAAAAATCACAAGCATTCTTATACACCAACAACAGACAAACAGAGAGCCAAATCATGAGTGAACTCCCATTCACAATTGCTTCAAAGAGAATAAAATACCTAGGAATCCAACTTACAAGGGATGTGAAGGACCTCTTCAAGGAGAACTACAAACCACTGCTCAAGGAAATAAAAGAGGATACAAACAAATGGAAGAACATTCCATGCTCATGGGTAGGAAGAATCAATATCGTGAAAATGGCCATACTGCCCAAGGTAATTTACAGATTCAATGCCATCCCCATAAAGCTACCAATGACTTTCCTCACAGAATTGGAAAAAACTACTTTAAAGTTCATATGGAACCAAAAAAGAGCCTGCATCGCCAAGTCAATCCTAAGCCAAAAGAACAAAGCTGGAGGCATCACGCTACCTGACTTCAAACTATACTACAAGGCTACAGTAACCAAAACAGCATGGTACTGGTACCAAAACAGAGATATAGATCAATGGAACAGAACAGAGCCCTCAGAAATAACGCCGCATATCTACAACTATCTGATCTTTGACAAACCTGACAAAAACAAGCAATGGGGAAAGGATTCCCTATTTAATAAATGGTGCTGGGAAAACTGGCTAGCCATATGGAGAGAGCTGAAACTGGATCCCTTCCTTACACCTTATACAAAAATCAATTCAAGATGGATTAAAGATTTAAACGTTAGACCTAAAACCATAAAAACCCTAGAAGAAAACCTAGGCATTACCATTCAGGACATAGGCATGGGCAAGGACTTCATGTCCAAAACACCAAAAGCAATGGCAACAAAAGCCAAAATTGACAAATGGGATCTCATTAAACTAAAGAGCTTCTGCACAGCAAAAGAAACTACCATCAGAGTGAACAGGCAACCTACAAAATGGGAGAAAATTTTCGCAACCTACTCATCTGACAAAGGGCTAATATCCAGAATCTACAATGAACTCAAACAAATTTACAAGAAAAAAACAAACAACCCCATCAAAAAGTGGGTGAAGGACATGAACAGACACTTCTCAAAAGAAGACATTTATGCAGCCAAGAAACACATGAAAAAATGCTCATCATCACTGGCCATCAGAGAAATGAAAATCAAAACCACAATGAGATACCATCTCACACCAGTTAGAATGGCAATCATTAAAAAGTCAGGAAACAACAGGTGCTGGAGAGGATGTGGAGAAATAGGAACACTTTTACACTGTTGGTGGGACTGTAAACTAGTTCAACCATTGTGGAAGTCAGTGTGGCGATTCCTCAGGGATCTAGAACTAGAAATACCATTTGACCCAGCCATCCCATTACTGGGTATATACCCAAATGACTATAAATCATGCTGCTATAAAGACACATGCACATGTATGTTTATTGCAGCATTATTCACAATAGCAAAGACTTGGAACCAACCCAAATGTCCAACAATGATAGACTGGATTAAGAAAATGTGGCACAGATACACCATGGAATACTATGCAGCCATAAAAAATGATGAGTTCGTGTCCTTTGTAGGGACATGGATGAAATTGGAAATCATCATTCTCAGTAAACTATCACAAGAACAAAAAACCAAACACCACATATTCTCACTCATAGGTGGGAATTGAACAATGAGATCACATGGACACAGGAAGGGGAATATCACACTCTGGGGACTGTGGTGGGGTGGGGGGAGGGGGGAGGGATAGCATTGGGAGATATACCTAATGCTAGATGACGAGTTAGTGGGTGCAGCGCACCAGCATGGCACATGTATACATATGTAACTAACCTGCACAATGTGCACATGTACCCTAAAACTTAAAGTATAATAAAAAAAAACAAAAACAAAAAACAAAAACAAAAACAAAAACAAAAACAGCATGAAGCCAATTACATTTGTTTTTCAAACTTTTATAAACAATCTATTAATCTTGATTACAAAATATAACTTCCATAAGCCTTTTATAACCTTTATAACCTTTATTAAGGAGTTGGTTAATGCTTCATGAAAACCTTGTTAGTATGATACACGGGTCCATATACTGGTTTTGCATCAGTGTGCCTTTGACATTAATAATTAATTTATGGAGGAATTGAACTTATTTTATCTTTTAAAATCCACCCTTAAAATCTTACATGCCTACCTCTTCCACGTAGTCCCTGGGCCTTGAGGAGGTGGATAGCTTTAATTTCTTGCCCTGTGTCTCAAGAATGCAGTTTATTTTGATTGGCATCTTCTAGGGGGCCTGAAGATGAGAATTTAATTGCTATCAGTGTTTAAGATTTAGCAGAACTTGGTGTCCTTTTTAGACCCAAGAATCAAAAGCCCTGGAACTCAATGTTACAAAGACTCTAAAAACGTATACAGGAAGATGCATAAATGTAATAACCTTAACTTTAAAAAAAATCTCAGTTTTTTTTCCTAAGCAAAACAAAACTTAATAATAATAGGACAATTATAAAAGTTTTTTTCACATATGTATAAATCCTCTTATTGTGACTTACACTGACTGTTCATGACACGGTGGGGCTTTCTGATTTGTTCTGAATATCCATCCTTTTTAAACAACCATTATTTTATTTTAGGACTAAATTTACCATACAAGATTCTTTCTTATACAAAATTATTTTTTCTTTAAGCTTTTATACCTCAAAAAAATACCTCTTTATTTTTATAACTTTCTTCGCATTTTTTTTCCTGGTTCCTTTTACCTTGTTTTATACATAACCCTTAAATGAGCTTTTAATCAGACAAAATTTGTTCACCTTTTTTTTTTTTTTTTTGGAAAAAAAAACATACATTTTCATTTTCTTTTATTTAGCAAGAATGTTTTCCTACAATATATATTTATTAGAAAACACCCAAACACCCAAATAATGGAATATTATTATTTAATTTAATGTAACTTTATATTCTAAATTATAACCAGTTTGTCTACAAGTATTTATCCCATTATATTTGCCTAATTATTTTATTTTAATTATTTACCTAGATTATTTATGAAAACTGTGATAGTTATAATTTGAAGTTCTGAAATCACCATTGCAAAATTATAACAAAGACAATGAAAAAAAGATTTGACATAACTGGCTCCATCGTGCTCATAACCTCCAAGCCATCCTTGTTCACGCCTGGGCATAGACGGAACTAACTTTGGGAGGAACTTAGTTTATTATTTAGCTTTGAACAAAAGGTGACAACATTCCTTTCCCAAAACAAATTTCATTATTGTCTGTGGACTAGACTGCCTAAAGCAGTCTATTAGACGTTATGGATTAGAAGTTATGGTAATCTTACTAAATTCAAGATGCAGCTATTTTCATTAAAGCCATATCAATGTTTTATTTATTAAAAATGACATAAGCAAAGATCATTTTGATTTGGGCTGGGTTCATAGTTTTCTAACCCCTGTGCCAAATTTTGAGACTTTATAGTATTTGGCAGGGATGAGTATGAAATTGCTTGATTAATAAATGCAAACAGAAATGTATGCTGGAAATTCTTAAAACATTTGTAATATTACTTTAGCAATAATTTTAAAGCTAGCTTACTTATTAAAGATTTTACTTAAGTTACATAAACTTGACGATGCCTTTGACTAGTCTTTTTTAGTATCTAATTTACTGATTTTATTTTTCTTTAAGCCAATTAATTAGAACTCTTTTACATATTTTTAGTAGTGAAACATTCTGTACACAACACATAAATACATACACAAATTTATTAGGCCTGCCAATGGAAGTACATTTTATAGATTCATAAAGAACCCCTCCCACTTTTTTTCTTCTATCTTAGACTTTCAGATACTTGATAGCCTGTTTTACAACTCTAGGCAGTTGTCAGCTAAATAGCCTTAAATTTGCATATTAAAAGAAACACTCCGATGAAAATCAAATAGCAAAATTTACGTCATAAAGGTATAGAGAGAAAAAGTTTGGTGGTGCTAGAGGGAGACATTTTTACAGTGCACTGACTTTTTTTTTTCTTAAGGACATAGATTCTGAGTGTATAAACTATATTCTTCCTTAAAAATCCAAGAATAGGCCAGGTGCAGTGGCTCACACCTGTAATCCCAGCACTTTGGGAGGCTGAGGCAGACAGATCACAAGGTCAGGAGATCGAGACCATCCTGGCTAACACGGTGAAACCCCATCTCTACTAAATATACTAAAAATTACCCGGGTATGGTGGCGGGCGCCTGTAGTCCCAGCTACTAGGGAGACTGAGGCAGGAGAATGGCGTGAACCCGGGAGGCGGAGCTTGCAGTGAGCTGAGATCGCGCCACTACACTCCAGCCTGGGCGACAGAGCAAGACTCCGTCTCAAAAAAAAAAAAAAAAAAAAAAAGCCAAGAATAGCCTCCATTGCAATACTATTTTAGTCAAAAATCAGGTGGAAACAGAATTCAGTCAACTGAGAGAGAAAAAAAAACCTTGGCTCAAAAAACAAGGTCTTAGGAGAGAAAAACAAACAAAAAACAAAAACATGAAGGCTTTTAAAATACAAAGATGCACACATGCACACACACATCTTGGATGTTAGCCTTTTCATTAAGCTGACTTTTAACTATTGAGCTCCTTTAACAAAAAAAAATTAGTTTTTTAAACTTGCTATCATATTTCAGCTAGGACGAAATGCTGCTAAACTAACAATAATCACACAAATTATACGATTTTTGTACACTCTAAGTGTAAGCAGAAATTACACCAGCTGGTTGTTCATGCTAACTTGAGTCGTTTAGAAATAATTTGCAAGACAGAATCCCAAACTAGTTTCTTGCCTAGTAATGGGTCTCAGGCTGTATACTGCTCTCTACCATCCTATAAGCAGGAAAAAACAAACAAAACAGAAAACTCATCTTCCCTGTTGGAAGCGAGCTCAAACTCCATCGAGTTACCTGCCGGGCCGGGAGCGGTGGCTCATGCCTGTAATCCCAGCACTTTGGGATGCTGAGGCGGGCGGATTACGAGGTCAGTAGGTCGAGACCATCCTGGCTAACACGGTGAAATCCCGTCTCTACTAAAAATACAAAAAATTAGCTGGGCGCGGTGGCGGGCGCCTGTAGTCCCAGCTACTCTGGAGGCTGAGGCAGGAAAATGGCGTGAACGGGGGGCGGAGCTTGCAGTGAGCCCAGATGGCGACAGAGCGAGACTCCGTCTCAAAAAAAAAAAAAAAAGTTACCTGCCTTCCATCATCATGGAAGCAGGAAAACTTGCCTTCCCGTCAGAAGCAAGTAAAGCTCCAAAACAAAAACAAAAACAAAAACAAAAACAAAAAAAAGTTCTATAGCAAAATAAACTTTAGATCTCGACCAAATTTTGGGAGATCAGGCATTCTCTGGAGGGGATGCCCTCATTCCTCAGCAAATTGTCCTATTTGTTTGAGCCATGAAGTTAGCTCATGCTGGTACCAAGCACTGAAAAGAGATTTGTCAAAGGTCAGAGGCATCTCCGCTCAGAATCCCCCCCGTGGTTACCAAAACGTGAACCCCCAAAATTTGAGACAGGTCTCAGTTAATTTAGAAAGTTTATTTTGCCAAGGTTGAGGACACACCCTTGACACAGCCTCAGAAAGTCCTGACCACATGCTTGGTTTTACACATTTTAGGGAGGTATGAAACATCAATCAATATGTAAGGAGTACATTACCTCTGTCCAGAAAGGCAGAGACAGCTCAAAGCAAGGTCCCGACACAGGGGCTTCCAGGTCATATATAGGTGAGAGACAGATGGTTGTATTCTTTTGAGTTTCTGATAAGTCTTTCCAAAGAAGGCAATCAGAATATGCATCCACCTCTGTGAGCAAAGGGATGGCTTGAATAGAATGGGATGCAGATTTGGCCTGAGTGGTTCCCAGCTTGAAAGGACCCAAGACATTTTCCTTTCTCATTACCAAGGGCTCAGAAATATCAGGAATGAAGTTTGGAGTTGCATCACCAGAGAATGCACTGCGACAAAGTGATGACCAGTGTTGAGGAGGGTATTAGAATAGTGTTTGGTAAATGTGAAAAAGGAGAAGGCCAAGTTGTAGCTTTAAAATGAACTGCTGCATCCAGGGTGTGGTTCCTTACTACTCCCTCTCTTCTAAGATTCCCCACAAGTAGACAGTTTAATAGGGATTATGTGGAGTTTATCCACAAACCTGCATGGAGAAGCAGATTTCTCAGCTATGAGGGATGGACCTGTGGTGGCCATAAAATGTACTGCTCAGATTTCCTACTGAATAGTCTGACATCAACTGCTGCCACCTCTCTGAATTCACTTAGTCCACAACGCTCGTGGGTTGCTTCCATTCAGTGACTGAAAACAGAGAGGATATCAAGGCAAGGTACTTCTGTCATGCGCGTCCGTGTGAAGAGACCACCAACAGGCTTTGTGTGAACAACAAGACTGTTTATTCACTTGGGTGCAAATGGGCTGAGTCTGAGACAGGAGTCAGCAAAGGGAGATAGGGATGGGGCAGTTTTATAGGACTGGGGCAGGCAGTGGAAAGTTACAGTTAAAGGTGGTTATCTATTGTCAGCTGAGGAGGGATCACAAGGTGAATGGTGAGGAGATCATAAGACTCATTGTCCAAAAGAGGAATGTCACGAGGTCAATCGATCGATCAGTTGGGGCAGGGCAGGAACAAGTCATAATGGAATGTCTTAAGGTTGGTCAATCAGTTGAGACAGGAGCTGGCACTTCCACTTCTTTTATACTTTTCGGTTGCCTCAGGCCATCAGGATGTATATGTGCAGGCTTGGGCTAAGAGGCCTGATAACTTCATGTAGCATGCGGCACTCCTCAAATGGCAATACTGGCTTGAGGACTCCCAGTGGACTGGCCCAAAACACCCTCAGAACTGCTTTGCAGGTTAAGAACCTTTCACCCCAGTGTCATTACTTCCCTCTTGCCTACACAGGAGTCACACCTGCATAATGGTCTGAATATTGTGTCTACTTTTGCATCTTATGCATTATTCCCGGTGCTTGTTTTACTCAATAAATCTCTTGCAGGTCTAATCCTGGCTTAATCTCTGCTTCTCTGAATTCCCAAAGACAAACTTTCTATGGCTCTTCATACAGATTTTTTACAATTCATGTAACTTTTTTCCCCTCCGTTTTTTTCTTCTCTTCCCTCTTTTTAAAAAATTTGCATAAATTTAAGGGGTACAAGTGCAGTTTTGTTACACAAATATATTGTGTCTTGGTGGAGTCTGGGATTTCAGTGTACCATCACGCAAATAATGTACATTCCCCCCTTTATGTAACTGTTCATCCCTTACCTCCTTCCTCTTTTACAGTTCTTTCTCTTCCTTCTCTCCTTCTTAATATCTTTTATGGCTTTGTTTGTGTGAGATGGAAATTGAGAGGTAAAACTGAGTAAACTCATGCAAACACCAATCAAATGCATTTTTATGGTAATCAATGAAGAACTAATTTGTGAGAAATAATGATTACTGTAAACCAATGTCATTAATCACAATGCAAAGGTTTTTTTTGTGAAGTGAACATTTGATTCTGTATTTCTCACTTGCAGATTCTTAATTTACTTCCCAATTAACTTACGGAGTTTTTCAATTTTTACCAGCAACAACAATATAAAATTACCCCTAACAAATATTCCTGACAGCAATATGCAAGAAAAATGCTTTGCCTGATAAGTCTAAAACGTATTTAAAAGATTGCAATCTTTACTTCTGTGCTTTATGTTAAATGCCAACTGTGTTTGACCATTTACTCAAACTAAAATTACTAGTAAATTAATGTGATAAGATAAAACTCACAGTTTCATTTTTAAAGATGAGCTAAGGGAGATTCAGGCAGTCACTGAACCAAGCTGTATTTTTATTTCTTGTTTCATGCATTGAGAGCTGTTTCATATGAAGACAAATTCAATCTATCATTCTTATTATTTGTTATTTTTTCTCATTATGCAAACATATAACAATGTTCAGAAAGGGCTAATTTCTACTTCATGCACCTTGAAAAAAAGACAGTATGAAGTGATAAAGCACTAAACCTTTAAGAATTGCCTCAGTTCACTAATGGTGAGATTTTGATACATTCATCTAGTTAAGGCATATTGATTGTGTATCTCTAGCCGAGTCCAAAGCTCGTACTACTTGCCACACAATAGCCAATAAGGTGTTAGACCAAGGAAAGCAACTTTGTGTTGAAGAGGAGCAAGCCAAGAAATGGAAGACTAGTGTCCTGAAGAGTCATCTTAAAAGGCCTAAATCTCATGCTTCTTTTTATATTGGGAAGGGAGAACAATGAGGAGGATGAGTTGAAGAGGGAACAGGTGACCAGATATTTGTGCATCAGCAGGTGTCTGAGGGGGGTCGCATAATTTCTTTGGCCTTGGTCAGGTCACGATGCTTCTATAAATCTGTAACATTATATTGTTACTTTTGTGTACCATCTCCTTATTTCCTCAGCAGTTAGTTTAGGGAAGGGACTATTATCATTTGTTTTAAAGTTAAACTATAAAGTAAAACTATAGTTAGACTATAAACTAAAACTATAGTTAAACTATAAACTAAACTCCTCCCATAGGAATTTAGTTTGTTCACCATGCAGGAAGGAGCAAAGGCAGTTATCTTGTGACATCAGAAGCAAGATGAAGTCAGCTATGTTAGAGTTCTACGTTATGTATCTACATTATGCCAGGCACTGTGCTAGACAATGAAAATGTGATAAATACAATGCATTGTGCAGCTTCCTCTTGGAGCTTGTAGATTATGAAAAGGAAATAGACATAAAAATACCAAGCCAGTTATTATAGAATGGAAAGTATAGAGAGTTATGTCTTGGGCACCTAATTGAGGATAAGAACCAGCGAATTTAATGTATTCAAGTATAATAGGATGCCTGGCAAGATAAGCAATTTGTTCTTTTATTTATTGCTAGAAAAATCACTAAAGTTTTTGTGCATAGTGGAAAATGCAAAGTGTCCTTCAATAATTTTTCTTCTTCAGACTTCCTTTTACGTCACGGTTTCTTCTCAGTGTCAATGCAATTAGGAGTCTTTTTGCCTGAGGGAAAGATACAAAAGACTCGCAGTCTGATAAGGCTGCTGCTTCAGAGACCCTTTGCTTTATAAAGTGGTTGCAATGGCAAGAATGCATAGTATTGCATAGTGTTAAAGAGGCTGGGGTCAGGGGGTGGGAGCTGGTGTTTTTATAAATCATGACCCTCACATCTTCTATTTTTAGTGGAAACTTTATTAAAATATCTCAAATGAACGTAGATTGTTCAGAACGATATCCACTTGCATTAAAGGCTCCAAGGACCTGAGAGAGGTTCTCAAAAGGAAGAAAGGGAACATCTTTTTGTGAGATCCAGAAATATCTCTACAGTCTGTAGTTTTATCTAGAATATCAGTAAATGGTTAAGCTTTGGAGTCCTTGCAGCACCAGCTACCCAGGCATAGTGATAATACTCCTGAATAGTGGCTGAATGTGGATGTGTACAAGAGTTCTAATCTCTGAACACAAGTGTGTTCAATTATGAGACTCTAGAGCTTCTCTCTAGGTATGTGGCTCATGGGAAGAATCATCTAAATAGAGAACAAGATTCATTAGAGTGTGTTGGAGCTTTTTTCAATAGTGGTATGTTGCCCCACAATAGAGCTAAGTACTACTAATAGAAAATAAATCTAATTTACCAGATATTTTTCTGTCAGGAATTTTCAAGCAGGACTAGTTCCTTCAGCCTTACAGTCCAGTTGCTGGAAATCTGTTCAGAGGTTTAGGGCAGAAACCACAAAACCACCAAATTCTTTCTTCTCATTTTTATCATGTAGCTAGACCATATTTGCCAGCCACCTTGACATTCAGTGTGGCCCTGTGGCCAAGTTCTCTCAAATACAATGTGTGCAACTAACACCTCTTTCACTTCCACTTTGGGCATGTAAAACCGTCCCATGTTTTTCTTCAAAGCCTTTTTACTTCAACTATCCATCTCTAGACAGTGAGGTCCTGGATGATGACAGAGCCATAGATGGAAAAGACACCATTATTCTGGTCTATAAAGAACTGGTGGGTTCTTTGGAGGAAAAACAATGCTGTCATGAGCTGTGCAAAATCAGAGATCACCGGGTCCATGCGTGTTTGTGTCTTTCCACAATGCCAGGCTTTGATTGATGCAATTTCAATCACGAAAGCCACGAGCCACATGAGGTTCCCAAGGAGGCAGTTCTTCTTAGTACTTCCCATTCACTCAGTAGGCAGAGCTGCATTCACACAGGGTCAAGCCACGCCACAAGTCAGTCCGTATGGCAAACCATACATAATAGTATACTTAATACATACATGTTATAAAGCAAACATTCCACTACAAACAAGGTAACATTTAATATCAAAGGGAAAAAGAGATAGGAGAAAAGATTAATAAACCAGCTCTGGAGGAGCAAAGAAGATAAAAGGAGTGATGGTCTGGGCCGGAGGGTCTATAGGTCTTACAAGGAAGGGCCTTTGATGTGGCAGAGTCTTCGGGAGTAAAAGCCAAGTTCTTATCCCGAGTGCCTGCAAGATGGTGTTAAGATGGTCATTTTGAGCTGCTGAAGGCCTGATCTTTACAGTCATAAAGTCCCCTGGTGAGAACTAAGAGTGGAAAGTTATGCTTGTTTGTGTCCCTATCTGGTTTGATGCATATATATGTGCATTTGGGGGAGATTTGATTTTTGTCATAGTAGCCTCCAAACACTGGATCAAGTGTTTTAAACTAATTTGCTAAGCAATGTGATTGTGATTGTAATTGTAATTCAGATTTTTTTAAATAAAAGAAAGGCCGTATAAATATTTTTATTAAGTCTGAATGTAGAAAGTGTCATTCCCGAAAATTAATTATACATGAATAGATCTGTATGTTTATGTTTTCCAAATATTTGTGTGCAGTGTTTCTGTGTATTACACAAGCTTTTTTAGAGGATCAATATCCTTGTCTGATGCCTCCATTCACATTACAGAAATAAAGTAGAAGCAAATACTATGAATGATAGTACCAAAATATTGGTCCCTTTTAACGTTTTCTTAATGTGTCATAGTTACAAATATTAAAAAGTATTATTTTGAGCATTTTGGGATAAATATTTTAATGTATATCTAAGAACAGCAACGAACTTATCATCTTTGTAACTACTAAATCTACTTATGTTGTAGATGGATTTATTTTACAGGATAGTTCCTTACCTTGGCACTGTAAAAATAACCAGTTATTTTATAAAAGGCCTGGTTCAGCTCAGCATTTGAATTCTAAGTAATTAGTCCTGCTCATTTCCATTTAGATGAAAGCCTGATTAAAGCACAATGGCACTCTGGCTTCTTAATATAAACTTTTATATTTTTTGATAGGAGCATGTAATTTCCTTATGCCACTAAACAGACTGAAATTTGGATGCCACTTAAGCACTAAATGTTTGTTTTAGTCACATTTTCATTATGACACACTCATGTTTCAAGGTAATGTAAGTGTATTCAAGGTATGTAAGTGTATGATGATTTATAGTAACATTTTCCACAGAACAATATTTTAATTATTACAGTCAACTTGAAGATGATTAGTCTGTGAGAAGAAACATGTGAAAAATAAAAGGGTGAATAAAACAATGGAAAATTAACATTGAGGATAATAATAAAGGTGTGAACAAAAATGTTGGGAAACAAGAACTTAAGTAATCATCTATGCGACTACAAACAGATTAATATATTGGGCAGACTATAACATTTTAAAGATAAAATGTGAGTCCATTAAGAGCTTTATGACAGTTCTACAAATTGTGTTTTGTTTTGTTTTTGGCAAAGTCTGTCTGGACAGGTGATTTGGTTTTTGATTTTAGAGACTGAGAAACATTTCAGTACAGCATGGCACGTGGCCCTAAATTGGTAGCAACACATAATTTACTTATTAATCCAATCATTGTTATTTTCTCAGTAGCCTACAACAGTTAACCTTATGTCATTGGGGCCTGGATAATTGTCACTACAAATAAAAACAAGCATCAAAAGCATAGAATGTGGGTCTCTTAAAAGTAGTTGTTTCTGTAAACCACAACTGTGGCTCTCAACGTGGGCCAGTTTGGCTCTCCAGAGGACACTGGCAATGGCAGAAGATTATTTTTTCCAGTTTTCAGAGTCAGAAGTAAGGAGTGCTATTATATCTAGCAAGTTAGGCTGAGTATAATCCTGAACATCCAAAAATGAACAGAACAGACTCTGCAACAGCGACAAAATATTATCTAATCCATAATAGGGCCAAGGTAGAAATACTTGGATCCAGAATAAGCTAATACTAAATTCTTTGCAGTTATTATTAAAAAGAAAAAGTAATTCAAAAGCATTACAGATTAAGACATATTTGAAAATATGCAAGCTTGCCAGAATATATCTAATTTAGGTATGATATGTTTGGAAAAAAATTGGTATAGAAGGCTATAGGAGCTTTTCCAAAGTTGTATTTTGTGATTCATGTATGTAAGTGCTAATCTAGGAAAAATAATAGCTTGTCATTACATAGTTAGGATAATAATTGCTTTTATAACATTGGATATCAGATACCAATACTGAATTCTCTCCTGTTAATATCTGAGAACAACACATTTTTCTACTTATTATACATACATACTATTTCACTAATCTTTGAATTATCCACTCATTTTTTTCTCTTCCTCCTCACTTTCAAATAATAACCTATTAACCTAATTCACAGGTTAATCTATTAACCTAAACCATCAGCCCTTGTGAGAAAGAATTAAAAAGCTGCATCAGTTTCCAGGAATAATGTTCCAAACTTTACTGAGTATGTTTTTGCATTCGTTTCATTTTAAGGGATTTTTTTTTTCTGTCAAAGAAAAATATCCATCTAATTGTTCTTGTTGTCCTCCATTAGTGACTTATTAAAGCTGCTCCCTTGGTCCTTGGTTATCTGTGTTTTCTTTTTTTTTTTTTTTCTTTTTTCTCTTTCTTTTTCTTTTTTTTTTTTTTTTGAGACAGAGTTTCACTCTGTTGCCCAGGCTGGAGTGCAGTGGCGCGATCTCAGCTCACTGTAACTTCTGCCTCCGGGGTTCACGCCATTCTCCTGCCTCTGCCTCCCGAGTAGCTGGGACTACAGGTGCCCACCACCACACCTGGCTAATTTTTTGTATTTGTAGTAGAGATGGTGTTTCACCATGTTAGCAAAGATGGTCTCGATCTCCTGACCTTGTGATCTGCCTGCCTTGGCCTCCCAAAGTCCTGGGATTACAGGCGTGAGCCACCGCACCCGACCACCTGTGTTTTCTCTACTTTATTAGTCTCATCCAGTATACATATTAGATCATTACTTTCACATTCAAATATGCTCTAAAATCACTAACCTTAAATAGAAAAAAAAATGACAGAAAAAAAAGACATTTAAAAAATTAGCAAAGTCCTTCTCTTTAACATCAGGCCAAGAAAATGACCTTATTATTGTCTTTACTTGAAGATTATGTATGATCTCAGGAGATTTGTATGGGTTCAAGTTGACAAGGGGTAGACTTGTGATGGTTAATGCTGAGTGTCAATTTCATTAGATTGAAGGATGCAAATTACTGATACTGGGTGTGTCTGTGAGGGTGTTGCCAAAGGAGATTAACATTTGAGTCAGTGACCTGAGAAAGGCAGACCCACCCTTAATCTGGGTGGGCACCATCTAATCAGCTGCCAGCATGGCCAGGATATAAAGCAGGCAGAAAAACATGAAAAGGCTTGACTGGCTTAGTCTCTCAGCCTGCATCTTTCTCCTGTGCTGGATGCTTCCTGCCCAAGTTCAGACTCCGAGTTCTTCAGCTTTGGGCCTCAGACTGGCCTCATTGCTCCTCAGCTTGCAGATGGTTTATTGTGGAACCTTTTGATTTTGTGAGCTAATACTACTTAAAAAACTCCTCTCTTTCTCTCTCTCTCTCTATATGCATATTCTATTAGTTCTGTCCCTCTAGAGAATCCTACTACATGATTCTACCACTAAAAGATAATAATATATTTTATTCACGTTTATATTTGTATCTATAGTCATATTTATATTTGGAGAAGGCTGCTGGAAAGAAAATGGGGAAATTTCCCTCATTTAAAAAAAATCACACAAGTAGAATTATCTCCATTTTCCACCAGATGTTCTTCTGTTTGCATACAGAGTCATAGCCATTTTACTCTCATGAAGGGAGGGAGCTTGGGAACAAAGCCACCATGCTGAGCAGGGAAAGTCATAAGGAACGAAGGAGGGCTCTTGACATCATTCAATCACTGAATTAAACAACTCTGGGAGTTCCTGACCTCTTAGATCTTTGCAATATGAGATAATAAACTTCCCTTACAGAGTTGAGATTCTGTGGGTTTTTTTCAGGCAAAAAGCATTATATTTAGTGCAGTATGTACCCACAATTTTAGTAGAATGATTTATTAAGTTAATTCATATACAGTGCATAGCAGAGAGCTTAAGACATAAAATGCTTTAAAATTGCAATTATTACTATGGAATTTTTTATTTTTTATCATCATTAATATTATTAATATTGTTACAATTTTACTATTTTTATGATCTAAGTAAATTTAATTTTCATGGTAGCAGTCTAATGTCTGTTTATGAAACAAAGCTAGAAAAATGTTAAAAAATACTTAAACACATAAAAAGTTCCATATTTAAGACAATTTTTTATGACAAAGATAATTTTATTTATTTTTTTTTAAAGAAACTTTTTTTATCTTACAAAATTTTCAAATGTGAAGGATTTTAAATACCTGTTCAACTCTTCAGCAGAAGATCCATGACCTAAAAATATTTCTTACCCTTATGCAACTTTGAAAACATATTTAAGATAAGCTACATTCCTCCTTCAGGGCTGATACATTTGACTCCATAATGACAGATAAGGATATAAAATGTAAGCAAACAATAAGCATGACAAAGAGATCTTAATCATTTAAAATCTTATGTGTCTCACCAATAAAAGAGTGAACTTTTCAAAATAGTAAGGAACCAGATAGAAGAGACATAATATTTGAAAGCAAATCTACATATTTTGCTTCACTTATATTAAGTAAAGGTAACAATGGATATTTGCCTTAAAGTAAGTTAAGCACATTATTCATTCTCATTAATATTAAATTTTAATGAAGTTCATGTAAAACATAATTTTTTAAGTTGATTTGAATGTTAACCTTATGATCAGAGTGGTCAAGAGTTCAAATAATATTTGGGAAAATTTAACACAAATGCAGCAAAACTATGCTGAGACCATTAAGCTGACTATAAAGACTATAAATTATTTAAATAACTTTAACATAACATTAGCAGTTTAAAATATAAGCAATAATAAACTAATTGTTGTTTTTATGTTACTTCAAATAAAATATATATTTTACTGGCAAGTAAATATTATGTGAATTCAGATGCATAAATGTATGTAAAATTCATTTAACTCTGATGGTAAAAATACGTCACTTAAGTACCAAGTACATTTTGTTTTTGTGACAATAGATGCTAGTTTTAAAAATCACAGAAGTTTTTGGGTAAATACGGTTTTCTTTGTTCAAAAATGATTTCTCAAAATAAAAACTTGACATAGATTTTCCTAGAGGATCATTAGAAAAAACTAGCATCAGGATGAAAAATCATTTGTTTCAGGCCCCTTTGAACCAAGAGGCATTTAGGCAGTGTTACCTAATCAAGCTCTTATTAAAACTGGTTTCATATAATTAACACTTCAAAATTCATATGAAAATAAAATGTTATAGTTCTTAAAGTGGCAAAAATATACCATACAGTGTATACAAGTGTTAAATTATATTAACTGCCAGGACATTTTTAGGGCAACAGGGATTTATTTTACCAGTGCCATTTATCCTTCTACTTAAAAGATTGAAATATGGATATTGAAATCTAAACATCTCACTGCTTTTTCAAAAATATATACCCTAAAATGGTTAATACAAAGCAAATTAAAAGAATGGAAGATGTTTTATACATTTACTATTAATTAAATATTGTGTTTTTTGTCTGTTTTATTATTATTTTGTTGTTACTCCCATGTTACTATGCTAATAAATCAAGTTGATGTTTTACTAAATAAAATTTAGAAAATCAAGAATGAAATAACTATACACTATTTTCTTACTCTATTTCTAAGTCTAAAAAGAAGTTTATTTATACAACTTCTTTTAGGCTTTTTTTTCCTGCTAGAATTTGTTTTAATAGAGGAAAAATAAACAAACAAAATTTATCTTAGCCAATCTTATGTGTATGGTTCAATGTTATTAAATACAGTCAAAATGTTCAACCATCACCACCATCCATCTCTCTCTCTCATCTTATAAAACTGAAACTATACCCATTAAAAAACAAACTCCCCATTTTCCCTTTCCAAAGGAAATCCTGACAACCATGGTTCTACTTTCTGTCTTTAGGATTTTAACTACTCGCATAGGAGTAGTAGTCACTTAGAATAATGTCCTCAGGGTTTATGCATATTGTAGCATATGTCAGAATTTCATTCATTTTTAACACTGAATACATTTCTATTGGATGTATATATCAAATTTTACTTACTCATTTATCTGCTGGTGGACATGAGTTGCTTTCACATTTTACCTACTGTGAATAATGCATCTATGAATATAATAAGTGTACAAATACTTCTTCAAAAACCTGCTTTCAATAGAAGGAAATCAAAACATTTTACCCCCATATGTATTTCTTTATCATATTTTGAAATGGCTGCTGCAAGGCCAGAATACTGAGGCAGAGGAAATTTGCAACTTTTGAGAATTTCCATTAATTCAGTCAAGTCTTCCTTTTCTAGCTCTTTCCCGGATATCGGAGAGATTAACTGAAAGTCTGAAATCTTTCAAAGTCTGAAAAGAAACTTTTACCATCTATTCCCTCTGAAGGCAACTACTTGTGAGGCTTCATCTACGCAACAAGGCTTGCTAGCCAAGCCTCTTCGTTTCTCCCTCTCATAGCCCATGTTGCCACTAATACCTGTATTTGGCCATACTTTGGGCCTGCATTCTTTCTGTAATCTCAAGATGGTATATAAAATTATGTACGTTATTAAGGGGTTGATAGAATCTATATTCTGAAAAGCTCCCATGTATACACATTAAATAAGTTTGCCTGACTTTTCCGCTATTAATTTGCCTCATATAAGTGACTTTTCAGCAAAGCTTTAGGGGTCAAGGGCTTTGGCCCCCAGAAATTTTGGGGGTAATTACCCAGAAGTTTAAAGCTGGATCATTTGGAAAATCTATTTTTAATTTTTGAGGAACAACCATACTGTTTTTCAGATCAGTGGTATCATTTTACATTCCCACTAACAGGCCATAAGGGTTTCAATTTTTCCACATTCTTGTCAACACTTGGCATTTTCTGTGTTTTTGAAGGTAGCCATCCAAATAGGTGTAAGACAATATATCACTGTAGTTTTGATTTATTAGGGAATCTTTTATGTGCTTATTGGCAAATGGTATGTTTTTGTTAAAGAAATGTTTATTCAAAGCCTTTGATCATTTTGAATTCAGTTGTCTTTTTTTTATTGTTGAATGTTGTAAGTTCCCTAAATATTCTGAATATCTATTAATTTTCAGATATATAATTGCAAATGTTTTTCTTTCTGTTCTGTGGGTTGTGTTTTTACTCTCTTGACAGTGTCTTTTAATGTACAGTTTTTCCATATTTATAAAGTCCAGTTTATCTATTTTTTTCTTTTGTTATCTATGTCTTGGGTGTCATATCTAAGAAATTACAGCTAAATTAAATGTCATAAAGGTTTTGCCTTATGCTTTCTTCCAAAGGTGTTATAGTTTTTGGTCTTGCATTTAAGTTTTGACCCTAATTGACGTAAGTTTTGTGTATGTTGTTAGGTAAGGGTCCAACTTCATTCTTTGAATATGAATGTACAGGTTTCTGAACATTATTTTTTGAAAAGGGTGCCCTTTCCCTATTGAATAACCTTGGAAGTGTTGATGAAAAAGAGTCAAATTCTGTAAACTATTTCAAGGAATTTATTATGAGCCAAATATGAGTGAACAAGGCGAAAGGCACAGTCTCAAGAGTTCCTGAGAACATGTGCTCAAGGTGGTTACAGCTTGATTTTATACATTTTAGGGGACAAAAGTTACAGGCAGATATCAATTCATATATGTAAGGTATACATTGGTTTTGTCTGGAAAGGCAGGATAACTGAAAGCAGGAGCTTCCAGGTCATAGGTAGATTTAAAGATTTTCTTCCTTTTTTTTTTTTTTTTTTTTGTTGTTGTTGTTGAGACAAAGAGTCTCGCTGTGTCGCCCAGGCTGGAGTGCAGTGGCGTGATCTTGGCTCACTACAACCTCCGCATCCCTGGTACAACAGATTCTCCTGTCTCAACCTCTGAGTAGCTAGGATTGCAGGCATGTGCCACCACACCCGGCTAATTTTTGTATTTTTAGTAGAGACAGGGTTTCACCATGATGACCAAGCTGGTCTTGAACTCCTGACCACAGGTGATCTGCCTGCCTCGGCTTCCCAAAAGATTTAAAGATTTTCTGATTGGCAATTGGCTGAAAGAATTGTTATTATCTAAAGACCTGGAATCAATAGAAAGGAGTATCAGCTAAGATAAGTGGTTGTGGAAACCAAGGTTCTTATTATGCAGATAAAGCCTCCAGGTAGCAAGTTTCAGAAATCATAGACTGTCTATTATCAGACCAAAAAGGTGCCAGACTGTTAGTTAATCTCTCCTGGATTAGGAAAAGACCTGGAAAGGGAAGGGGATTTTCTATAGAACGTAGATTTCCCCACAAGGAATGGCTTTTCGGGGCCATTTCAAATATATATTTTGAGGTAAATTATTTTGATTTCTTTCAGGGCCTGCTATCTGTCATGTGAGACTATACTAGAGTCAGGTTGGAATTTAGTATCTTATTGCTATGATGAGTTTATTTCCTCACTCTTAAGATGTCTCTTTAAATGTTTATGCTGGTCCCTTGTGCCTGAATTCCAAACGGAAGAGAGTATAATGAGGCATGTCCCAACTCCCTTCCTGTCATGCATGGCCTGAACTATTTTTTTGAGTTTAACTTTTGAATGCCCTTGGCTGAGAGGGGATCCATTCAGTTTGTCAGGGGGCTTAGAATTTTATTTCTGGTTTATAGCACTCTTGTCATAAATCTGAATTTACAGGTGTTCCCACAAGTATTCCTATGGGTATCTGGTTACTTAGACTTGCTGAGGGGTTTGTTTTTTGAAAATTTAAATAACTTTAAAACTTTGGTTTTCTCTTAATCTTGAAAGATTTACCTGAACTGGGTCAGTATCTCTGTCAATATGTGTAGTATACTAACATGTCAATGTGCTCCTTTCTCCATCAGTTTCCCTTACAGTCTGTTCAAAGAAATATTTCTACTTACTACTCCCCATGGTAAAATACATGTCCTAGGTATTTATCTCAAACTTCAGCTGAAAGAAGATTAAAAAGAGTCAAATATTAGAACCATGAACAATGCCAACGATTAGTAAGGAGCTATAAATACAAATACAGATACAGCTATGGTAGATATGTTAATATTATAGTCTCCTAGGGAAATTGTCATATTAGTTGATAGAAACAATTCTTTCAGTGTACATGTAGAAGCCATTATATGGTTTTGTGTGTGTGTATATATATATATGTGTTTATATCTATACCTATCTAATATATATGTGTATAAATAAATGGAAATCTACATTCCAAATTTGCATTTATCTAAATATTAAGAACATTTTATAACAAGAAAATTTAATCACAAATAGTTTTATTTTTCTAATTTCCCTCAAAATTTTTATTTAATTATAAAATGGAACATATAATCTAATTTCCTAAATAACCTTGGCGTAGATGTTAATTTTCAACTCTTTTTTGTTTATGGTGTGTATAAATAATAATACATATGAAATTCTAAAATCTTAGTAGCAACTTTAGATATAGATAAATCTACGTACAGGAAAATGCATGCTAGACAATAGATTAAGAAGTTAAAAAGTTAAAGTGATGAAAATTGAAAAAATATTACAGCGTGGAAGGGATGTTAAAATTGAACTAAATTACACTTTACCCACTAAAGCATGTGATCAGAAATCCTTGTTCGTCTTAATTGGACTGAATTGATCAGAGGCTAGCGTTGTTTGTAATGATTTTTTAGAAAGATATCTTAATTATTCTGTGGAGTACTGCCATAAAGTAGGTAAAGTCAATCAATTTAATGCAATTTCACTCTTTGTAAATAACCTTCAAGCCTGAGAGAAAGGAAATTTAAAAAAAGTTTTAAATGGTCTGTATGTCTCTTTTTAAGTATATAAAGTTAATCCACACAATTTAACCATATAATAATGCATTTATTTAGCAAAAATTTTCCTGATCCATTGAAATCCAACAGCATAAGAAGACTTTTGATGCTTTGTTATGGTGCAGCATTTAGGAAATAAAGTATTTAACAGAAGATCTAGATGACAATGAGACTCAATGAGAAACAACTTAAAAATTGTAATTCTAAATGAAAGTAACTAACAGTTTGACTACAGCTTCCTAAACTTTGAAACATAAAATATACATATGTTCTTTCACAATAATGACATTTAAATATATTAAGAGAATTTCAGTTAGTGTATGACAAAACTGCTTATCTTCTTAACTTTATTTTTTGAACAATACTTTTTGATGTATTTTCCCTGATAACTGCCTAAATTATACTAAATTTCCTTTAAATTTTTAAACCATACATGATATCGTTTTTCTGTGTCCCCACTCAAATCTCATCTTGAATTCCCATGTGTTGTGGGAGGGACCTGGAGGGAGGTAACTGAATCATGGAGTCAGGTTTTCCCATGCTGTTCTCATGATAGTAAATAAGTCTCATGAGATCTGATGTTTTTAAAAAGAAGAGTTCTCCAGCACAAGCTCTCTTTGCCTACCACCATCAACGTACAATGTGACTTGCTCCTCCTTTCCTTCCATGATGATTGTGAGGCTTCCCCAGCCACGTGGAACTGTAAGTCCATTAAACCTCTTTCTTTTGTAAATTGCCCAGTCTCGGGTATGTCTTTATCAGCAGCATGAGAATGGACTAATACAGTAAACTGGTACCAGTAGAGTAGGGTGCTACTGAAAAGATACCTGAAAAAGTGGTAGCAACTTTGGAATGGGGTAACAGGCAGAGGTTGGAACAGTTTGGAGGGTTCAAAAGAAGACAGGAAAGTGTGAAAAATTTTGGAACTCCCTAGAGACTTGCTGAATGGCTTTGACAAAAATGCTGATAATGATATGGACAATGAAATCCAGGCTGAGATAGTCTCAGATGGAGATGAAGAACTTGTTGGGAACTGGAGCAAAGGTGACTCTTGCTATGTTTTTAGCAAAGAGACTGGTGGCATTTTCCCCTGCCCTAGAGATTCGTGGAACTTTGAAATTGAGTGAGACGATTTAGGGTATCTGGAGGAAGAAATTTCTAAGCAGCAAAGCATTCAAGAAGTGATGGGTGCTGTTAAAGGCATTCAGTTTTAGAAGGGAAACAGCATCAAAATTCAGAAAATTTGCAGCCTGACAATGCAATAGGAAATAGAAACCCATTTTCTGAGGAAAAATTCAAGCTGCCTGCAGATATTTGCATAAGTAATGAGAAGCTGAATGTTAATCACCAAGACCATGAGAAAAATATCTCCAGGACATCAGAGACCTTTGTGGCAGCCCCCTCCCATGAAAGGCCCAGAGACCTAGGAGGAAAAAATGGTTTTGTGGGGCTGGCCCAGGTTCCCTCTACTGTGTGCAGTCTAGGGACTTGGCATCCTGTGTCCCAGCCACTCCAGCTGTGGCTGAAAGGGTCCAAGGTACAGTTCAGGCCATGGCTTCAAAGGGTGCAAGCCCCAAGTCTCGGCAGCTTTCACAAGGTGTTAAGCCTGTGAGTGCAAGGAAGTCAAGAATTGAGGTTTGGGAACCTCCACCTATGTTTCAAATGATGTATGGAAACACCTGGGTGCCCTGGCAGAAGTTTGCTGCAGGGGCGGGGCCCTCATAGAGGGCCCTCTACTAGGGCAGTACAGAAGGGAAATGTGGGTTGGAGCCCCAACACAGAGCCCCACTGGGGACACTGCCTAGTGGAGCTTTGAGAAGAGGGCCACCATTCTCCAGACCCCAGAATGGTAGACCCACTGACAGCTTGCACTATGCACTTGGAAAAGACACAGACACTCAACACCAGCCCATGAAAGCAGCCAGAAGGGAGGCTGTACCCTGCACAGCTACAGGGGCAGAGCTGCCCAAGACCATGGGAACCCAACTGTTGCATCAGCATGACCCAGATGTGAGAATTGGAGTCAAAGAAGATCATTTTGGAGCTTTAAGATTTGACTGTCCTTCTAGATTTTGGACTTACATGAGGTTTGTAGTCCCTTTGTTTTGGCCAATTTCTCCCATTTGGAATGGCTCTATTTACCCAATGCCTATACCCCCATTGTATCTAGGAAGTAACTAACTTGATTTTGATTTTACAGTCTGATAGGCTGAAGGGACTTGCCTTGTCTCAGATGAGATGTTGGACTGTTGACTTTAGAGTTAATGCTGAAATGAGTTAAGACTTTGGGGGACTGTTGGAAGGCATGATTTGTTTTGAAATGTGAGGACATGATATTTGGAGTGGAATGATATGGTTTGGCTGTGTCCCCACCCAAATCTCATCTTGAATTCCCAAGTGTTGTGGGAGAGACCTGGTGGGACGTAATTGAATCATGGGGGCAGGTCTTTCCCATGCTGGTCTAGTGATAGTGAATAAGTCTCACAAGATCTGATGGTTTTAAAAAAAAGGAGTTCCCCTGCACAAGTTATCTTTCTTTGCCTGCCGCCATCCATGTAAGACGTGACTTGCTCCTCCTTGCTTCTGAAATGATTGTGAGGCCTCCCCAGCCATGTGTAATTGTAAGTCCATTATACCTCTTTCTTGTGTAAATTGGGTACGTCTTTATCAGCACATGAGAACAGACTACAAAATACATATTCAAATTTAAATTTTGGAATGTTTGTATGTGATGATCATATACTGTGATATGTCTGCGAACAAGAGAAAATTTTAGAAGACTAAATGTAAAACCTGGAGTGACCAGTGATGCCCTGATAAAAAATAATTAGAGTTAAGGTGATAATTTAGATTGGAAAGCAAGCAAGCAAGCAAGACAAAAAAAGAGAGAAAGAGAGGAAGGAAGGAAGGAGAAGAAAAGAAAGAAAGAAAAAGAAAGAAAGAGAAAAGAAAGAAAAAGAAAAGAAAGGAAGGAAGGAAAGAGAAAGAAAGAAGGAACAACCCTCTGGTGGCATAATTTGTATCTGATTTCTTAATTAGATGTATTTGATGTGTGAATAGATTGTAAGTACATAGCTGAATGTCAGGCAAGTCTACCTTTTGCTTCTTAATTACTCATGCTAAATGGAAATCTTTGTAATTGACAAATCCTGCCCGTGTATTCATCTTATAAAAAAGAAAAACTTGAAAGTTTATATTTAACTATAATTGATATAATCAGAAGTCTCACTAATTTTATAACATTCTTCTCTTAGATGTGAAAACAGTGACTTGCCTGTAGAAACTGAAAGTTTATTGTAAAGCAGTTCATGCCAAAGATGGTGAATACTCTTCAGGAAGCCTAACAGGCAATCTGTCTAAACATAACTAATGCTCATGACAGTAAAGTTAGATAAATAGAATGGTAGGTGATGATATAATCATATTTCCTTTCCTAAAGATACCTGAGTTCTCCACCACAAAAAGGAATTAATTTATTATAATGAAGAGATTATGAAAATTTCCATTTGAGAGAGAAAGGCTAAGAAATGTTGGAGAAGTGTAATAGTACATATCATAGCCTAGATTAATTAAATTGGCTACAATATTGGTATCCACCGGATAATTCACTAATATAATATATCTTGGGGCCATGAAAGTCATATCACATACAGAAATAAACCAAACTAATAATAAAAATGTATAATATACTATAATTCTACTATAATATCTATATCTGTACTTTCTGCTAGGCCCAATTCATAAGATAACCCTCTTGTAACCCAATTCCCTGAAATGAATTTAAATAGAATATGGAATTAAAACTATCTTTGGAATCTTACAGCATAGTATATCACATGTAGTACTGTTTGGGGCCATATGAATGCATATTAAAGCACACAATACAGGGGAAAGGTCGGGCATATAGATATGTGCAATCTTGAGTCTCTCCAAGTAGCAGCAAATACTAGGATTTTGAACAAGCTACCTAACACTGGAGCAAGATACACTTTTCTCAAAAAAATTTAGTGGCTTTTCATGAGGTTTTAGAGGAGACAGCTGCAAATATTGAGAAATATCAAATAATTTTTAGACTTAAGGTACCTAGTATACCTTAAGTAAGTATTATTAAGTATTGTAGTAACATTAGAAATATTTATTTTGATATGTTAAGTAGCTGGTCAGAATTCATTCATGAAGTGGAAATGGCATATGCCAAAACAGGCGACAGGCTGTAGTTCTGGAAGACTATAGTGTACTCATGAAAAATTTGCCATCCTGTTTCTGGGAAAAATGATAAAACTTCTGGAAAAACTAGTAGCTTTTAATAAGGAATAGTCTGAGCCTCAGAGTTAAAGCAGAGCAGGTGCCCAAAGGGTCACATAATGCCATCCAAAATATGCCACTTTGGCGTAAGAATTCTTTTGAGCTGAAGGCAACTGATAAGAAACAGATAGAAGAAAAGCTCTGTGCCCTCACCCACTTGCCTAAAAGCAGGACATAAATTTACACAGGATACAAATTTACTCCTCCTTTTAATGAGAAAGGACAAAAGTTGATCATCATAGAAAGCTTTCAACTTTTATCAGCCTGGAGACACCACCAGATGAATCTATTTCACAAACTTTACTTACTAGCTTTTACGTACCTTCAGTTTGCCATTTATTTGCCTTCTCACTAGATATTCAAGGTCCTTTTTCTGTGTCTTGCTGCTTCTATAACAATATGTTGTTTTTTGTTAATGATGCTACATAAGTCAGCATTTTAAGCCACCTCTTTAATATTTACTCATGTTTGCCTGGGTATGTTCCATGTATACATGGGTTATAACATGTTAACTTCTGTCATTTTTTTTTCTCTTGTTAATCAGCCTTTTGTTATAGGGGTCTCAACTATAAATTCAGAAAAATAAAGGGGAAATTATTTTTTCCTCCCCTACACAACCCAATTCATGAATGAGCGTCTCAAATTAAGGGAAGAAAGCAGTATGTAATAATGCAGCCATTCTTTCTGCAGATGATAAAACATCAGTTGAAGAAGTTCATTTGGGTAAAGAGATGGATAATATTTGGATATACATGAACTCTTGGACCATCATCAATAGCTTTGTTCTATATTAAGGCATAAGGACAGATGCTGATACCATCTCCTTTACAAGGTCAGTAGATGATCCATAGCTGCTATATATGGGGCTAAAAATGACTCCAGTCTTCACTGTACTTTAAAAGAAGACCATTTCTTGATGGAGTTATCAAAAGTATTTTAATACTCTTGGATTTTAATGCGTCAAGAAAATCTTACAAAATAAAATAATTATTTATTATAGAGTTTGCCAGCCCTGTCTTGGATGATTGGATTCCAAGGGTATCCTTATATTGTTAATACAATTGTAAAATTCCAAGTGGAAATTTCAAGGAAGAATTAAAGTAAGTTATGTGGATAATGAATAGTTACTGCTCAGAAAGTGGCAGGAATGTGAAGACTGATGCCCTTGCTTAGGCCCTGGAGGTAGCTACTTGAAATGAGCAGGCACAGATATGTTCAGGTTATGCAACATTGGACAGGAAAGGCTGTATACCTCTAGCCTCTACTAATGCTGCTAATGTAATAAAAGACCATATAGACTGTTAACAGGAAATTGAATTTGAGTAAGATTTCCTGAGAAATTCTCACACTTAGCAGGGAGTGGTACTCTACAGGAGCTTTATAAAGAAATCCAGGTGGCTTCAAATGGATTGTCACTGTAGTACTTATGCAATCCGTTTTGGGCTCTGTTTACTGCTTACCTGAATCAGCAGCAGAGAATGTTATTAAAAGTATAGAATAAAGTATTTTGCATCAATTTGTTCTCCCCAGTTATATATTAACAGAACAAAGAATGCATTTCCTTCCTGCCAGCAATCCAAAATGTTCTAAAAAGAATTACATCAAGCAGATGCATGCTATCCTTTTTTTTTTTTTTTTTTGAGACGGAGTCTTGCACTGTTGCCCAGGCTGGAGTGCAGTGGTGCGGTCTTGGCTCACTGCAAGCTCCACCGCCTCCCAGGTTCACACCATTCTCCTGCCTCAGCCTCCCAAGTAGCTGGGACTACAGACGCCCACCACCACACCCGGCTAATTTTTTGTATTTTTAGTAGAGACAGGGTTTCACCGTGTTAGCCAGGATGGTCTCGATCTCCTGACCTCATGATCCACCCGCCTTGGCCTCCCAAAGTGCTGGGATTACAGGTGTGAGCCACCCCGCCCATCGGATGAATGCTATTCTTTATGGTCTAAAAGGCATTTCTTTGAGAATTGGGGTTAAAAAACAAATATCTGTTAATAGAAATAAAAACGTAATATGGGTGAGAAGTGTTGGTTAGTGTAAATGGGTGAATTTGTTCTTCATCTAAATGTGAGGGTGGAAAAGAGGATATCTTTGGAAAAATTGTGGGGATGTAGTGCTAGGAATGAAGGCGTGGAGGATGATGGAATCTTCCAGTTCCCTGTTTTTCCCAACAGGCACATTATTCCATTATATGGAAATAGAGTGGTCTAGGACTGCTCATTTTGTGCTTGGCAGAATAAGCACTGGTGTGCAGAGTACTTTCTCAGTGCCTATGAACTTTGTGAATTTTCTAAAGTAAAATGAGTCAGAGAGTAATCCCATCTTATTGGCTAAATCATGGTAAGTAGTGATTTTTAGTCACAGAAGCAGCCTTGTCTTCCTTTGTCTCCATATTGAGGATAGAAAATATAGCAAGAAACAGCAGTTCCAATCCTGCTACTCAAAAAAGAGGCTCTCATTTGGGTACTGATTCTGGCTTAAGATAGGTAATAAATGGGAAGAACATGGAGAAATTGTAGCAGTTGATGACCCATATTAATGAGAAATTTTGGTTGAGAAAATACCTTTTTTTTTTCTCTCTCATAATACAATCTTACGACAGGAGAATAATACACTTCACTGCTACTTTCAGATGTGATACCATGGCATAGCTGCTGCTGGGAAAGCTCACAGGTTTGATTTCCTATAAGAAGATTAATTTTATATAAATCAGTTTAAAAGGATTTTTCAAGGTACCTATATATGTGATTTAGTAAAAAGATGGCACCAAACATCATTTAATCACCATTGTAAATAATAGCTGTTTGATGTTGATTGAGTTATTTTTTGGTTATTATGCTTATTATATGCATTCTTTTACAGACTTGAAATTTCTACCTTTGAACCATGCAGGTCATTTTGTTACTGTCAGTGGTCAGCATATCTACTGCGTTGTTGTGAACCAGGATGACGTATTGTTAAGGCAATTATCCGTGTTGAAGAGAAACACGTCGCTGCTGCTTGCTTGATGTGGCTGCAACAACAAAGCTGTTTTGACTACTCTAGGTAAAAAATGGGGTTTGAACACTACAAAATCAGGCACCTACAGAATCACAGTAGGATCTGAGTAGGTGAATATTGTCATAAAATGCTGGCCAAATATCTCATTATTTACACCTAATATTCAAGAAAGACAGTCATGAGAAACTTTATGACATACTCAGACAGAACTGAATCTATTGGCAGAATATATTCCCAACTAATCATCTCTCATGGGATACAACATTGTGTTTTCAAAATACCTTAACTGCATTCACCTCTCGTCATTCAGTAACAACATTTGGGGTGGCTGAACCAACACCAGCTCCAAGGCCTTAGATGTCCTGGAATATTGTGTGTTACGTGAATGATAGATTATTGTTCTGGATATTTAGTAACATTATGAAAAGGTGTTATTAACCCAGCTAAGGACACCAGAATCACTTTCATGGGAAACTAGCAGAACATTGCAATTGGCCAAGTACCAAACTTAACTGTTTATAATTCTAAGATATGCAGAGAAAGAATACAAGAAAAATAATTAGCAACCCAGCCAGTGATTCCAAGTCTTTACTAAAGATTAGTAAAAGAACTTTGGTGGATGTACAATTTGACTTAAGTACTGAAAGGTGAGTAGAAATTAATCAGTAAAATGTGAGAAAAATTTAGGATATGCTTATCATAAAACTGTACAAATTTTTCAATGATACCCAAAATGTAAGACATGCTGAAATAATCTATTTCCATGGATCAAACTCATCCCAAATAAAGTACTGGAAAACCAAGATACATTAAAAAGTATTCTATCTTATGGTTTGCTGGAGTTCAACACATACAGCCCCAATATGAGGATACGCTTTAGCTTCTGAGGATGTATTTTGCCATCTTCTTTGTATACATCACCTGTATTTGCTCACCACCCCCATGGCGTTGTCCCAATGAGGGAAGGTACTTTTTTGAGTTAATAGGAGGTATAAACATACTTGTCATTGATTGATATTGATTTTAGAATTGGAATGAAATTATTCCCAATGATTATTCTATCATATTAAATATCTAATAATTGATCATGATGCAACGGCAGAGGCAAAGACAGGGACATAAAAGACTGGAGAAATTCACAGATAAAATCTTTAATAGAAGATTGGTAGGAAGACGGCCAGCTGTGGTGGCTCAGGCCTGTAATCCCAGCACTTTGGGAGGCCAAGGCAAGTGGATCACTTGATGCCAGGAGTTTGTGACCAACACAGAGAAACCCCGTCTCTACTAAAAATACAAAGCATTAGCTGAGAAAGGTGACACATGCTTCTAATCCCAGATATTTGGGAGGCTGAGGCATGAGAATCACTTGAACCCAGGAGGCAGAGGTTGCAGTGAGCCACGATTGCACCACTGCACTCCAGCCTGGGTGACAGAGCAAGACTTTGTCTCAAAAAAAAAAAAAAAAAAAAAGAAGAAGATTAGTTGAAAGAAATTAGAAGACACTCCCTAAAAATATAACATTGACAAAAAATATTTCTCTATATGTTTCTCTCTACATATGGGTTGATATGTTTTGGCTGTGTCCCCACCTAAATTTCATCATGAGTTGTAATCCTTATAATCCCCATGTGTTGTGGGAGGGATCCTGTAGGGAATTGAATCATGGGGGCCGTTTCCCCCATGCTGTTCTGATGATAGTGAGTGAGTTATCACGAGATTCAGATCTGATAGTTTTATTAGCATCTGGCATTTCCCCTGCTGGCATTCATTCTCTCTCCTGCCACCCTGTGAAGACTGATTGTAAGTTTCCTGAGGTCTCCGCAACTATATAGAACTGTGAGTCAATTAAACCTGTTTTCTTTAAAAATTACCCAGTTTGGGGTATTTCCTCATAGCTGCATGAGAATGACCTAATACATGTATATACGATATGTATATATGTATACGTACGTACGTATGTACGTATACATATATATACGTATATATACGTATATACTTATATGTATGTATATATACGTATATGTATGTATATATACGTATATATGTGTATATATGTCTATATACACATATATACGTATGTATGTATATGTATATACACACATATATACATATACGTATGTATATATACATATATACGCACACACCCATTATATATATATACAACATATATATTTATAATGATATATATGTTATATGTATTTTTATAAATATATAAAAATATATAAATATATTATATATAATTTATATATAATATATATTTTATTTATATATAATATATAAATTATATATCTAATATATAATATAATTATATATATTATATATTATATATATAATTATATTAATATATTAGATATATAATATATATTTATATGTAAATATGTATATATAATATATACATGTATAATATATAATATGTATATTTAGATATTAATATATAATATAATATATAAATATAAATATTATTTATAATATATAATATATAAATATATTATAAATATTATAAATATTATAATATTTATAATATATAAATATATGATAATATATTATAATATTTATAATATAAAATATATTTTATATTATAATATAATATAAAATATATTTTATATAATATAATATAATATAAAATATATAATATATATTATAATATATAATGTATATAATACAATATAATATAATATAATATATGATATATATTACAATATATAATGTATATTATAATATATAATATAATATATATAATATAATATAATATATAATACAATATATATAATATAATATATAATATAATATATAATATATAATATATAATATATATTATAATATATAATATTATATATTATAATATATAATATTATAATATATAATATTATATATTATAATATATATTATATATTATAATATATAATATATATTATAATACATATTATAATATATAATATGTATTATAATACGTATTATAATATATAATATAATCTATAATATATATTATAATATATAATATATAAATATATAAAAATATATAATATATATTTATATACAAATATATAAAAATATATAATATATTTATACACAAATATATATAATTTACATATATAAATATATATTTATAATGAGTATATATTATATATATTATATATATTTTATATTTTATATATATTATATATAATACATATTTATAATGGGTATATGTATTTTATATATAATATATATACGTGTGTATGTTTACCTATATATAAATATGTGAGTATGTATGCATGTGTATATTTATTTATATATAATCAAATAATAAAATATTCATACCAGAATGTAGAACGTTCAAAGAAATAAGAGATAGTATACCCTTTTCTATCTTTTTTTCTCTCTTCTTTGTTTGGATTTTAAGAAATTTCTGAAAGCACGTATTGTATTTTATCAGCATGTATGTGTATATGTGTGTGCATGTATGTCTGTTTGTGTGTGCATGTTAACTAATGGGGCACAACAAAACACACCCCAAACTTGTCATTTTAAATAACACATATTTGTTACATTTCTTACCTCACAGTTTTTGTGGGTCAAGAATCTGGGCAATAGAGAGAGTCCAATAGCAAGATGATAAATACCTAATCACAGAAGTGACATTTTAAAAATACTTATTTTACTTTACTTTTGTGGTAGCTGGGAGCCACCATCTGAGTGGGAGGCCTGGTCTCCCCTGGAGGGTGGGTGGGATGTTGGAGGGAGGCCTCGAAGGGTCGCCCCCACGTGTGTCAGATTCACTGAGTGGCATCTCAGGATAACGCCTAGGCTGGGAAGCCACTGTGGAGTTTCTGTGGTAGGTAGTGGGTGGGTCAGAGATGGAGGCCTCCTCTTCGGGTCGCTGCAGTGTGGCAGCATCATTTAATGGGGACAGGTCTTGGATGGGTTTTTAAGGGTGATTAAATGCTAAGTCCCCACGTGCAAGACGAGACAGAGCTCGACATGCTACAAGGCATGAGAACATCAATGTGCACAGCAGGAATTGTTTGGGACGGGCCTTGTAGGGGGAATATTTGCGGTCGGGGAGGCATGAAAGGGGCCTCAGTCGGTAGCCTCTTGCAATGGCAGGATCGTCCTGTGGGATCTCTGGTCCTTGGGAGCCCTGAGGTTGCCCCTACCTGCTGTGGGTGCTTTCCTGGTGACGCCTTCCTAGCCCAAGAGGGAAGGAAGTGAATCCTTCCTTTCTCCCCACTCACCCCACGTGCACAGGCTGCAAGCCTCCTATACTGATTTTGGTAGCAAGTTATTCAAAGAAAGAGATGTATGCAAGGTCATTAATATGGTTAGGCTTTGTGTCTCCACTAAATCTCATCTTGAATTGTAATCCCCATAATCTCCATAATACCCATAATCCTCATGTGTCAAGGGAAAGACCAGGTAGAGGTAATTGAATCGTGGAGAGGTTCCCCTATGCTGGTCTCCTGATAGTGAGTTCTCAGGAGATCTGATGGTTTTATAAGGGGCCCTTCCCCCTTCGCTGGGCACTTCTCCTTGATTCCCCTTCACCCTCTGCCATGATTGTAAGTTTCCTGAGGCCTTCCCAGCCATAGAGTGGTGATTCAATTAAATCTGTTTTCTTTATAAATTACCCAGTCTTTAGAGCAGTATAAAAACAGATTAAAACAGTCACGAAGGCTAGGGACAGGGATCACTCTTAGAGGCTGCGTAGTATGGATGGTGTATACATGTGTTGAGGTCATCTCTTGTTTGACAGACTGTCCTTACAGCCTTGGTTTGATTTTCCTGTCTGTTTGGTTGTATATCTTTACCTTTTAATTGACATTTTATTTTATTTTGTTTTGTTTTACAAATGTTTTCTGCTCTTTGGCTGCACACTAATCGAAGAACTCTGTGTGCATAACATGGCTTGAAGAGCAGAGAGTTTTATTGGGTATTTGATTAGGCTGTGTCACTAGGGTATTGCAAATTCTCAAGTTTTCTTCCTTCCTTTCCTTTTTTTTCATCTTTTATTCTTTTCTTTCTTCCTTTATCCCACAGGTTGGGCTTTCTACAAAGGAAGTTTTTAATATTCTGATTGAAAGGACTGTATAATCCTCAATGATTTTTTCAAAGCCTGCTGAGGGAATAGAACTGAGATTAGGGTAGCTCTCACCATTCGGTTGATAGACTTCTCTGACTATGCCTATTTGTGTAAGGTACCCCACTCACATCTGTGCAAAGTTTTCCCATTTTCATATTTCTCATGTTTTACTGACTGCAAGGAACAGGCTCTAATATTTTCTCTTGCTTTGGAGGGATAATTTTCTTTCTGTCAATATTGATAGAAAATTTTGTCTGCCTGTTAAGCAGACTTCCAAATAATACTTGTCTGCTTCACTTTTCCATCAACTCTGTGATGACTGCTTCTTTTAATTTGTGCATCATTTTGGAATTAATTTACACAAATCAGGATTCTTCCATGATTATTCCAGGAAGGCTTACCTTTTATGAATTTTCTACTACCTTTTGCCTATTCCCTTTCCAGATTTACTGATTTTGTTCCTGTTTTCCTATGGGTTTTTGTAATTCTTTGTTTATGTTTTCTTATTTTATAAGTTTATTATTATTTGACTGAGTCTTGGAGGAGGATGGAGGTAAACACATATGTTCAATGCAACTGTTTTTTCTAGATGCCATTACTGGTTTTATTATATTCAGCTTCAAATTACTTTGTGCATCTCTACAAAATTAATGTTCCATTGCTTTATTCATGTCTTGCTTAATAAATTTTAAAGCACCACTAGTATCTACAGGACAAGATTCAAATGTCTTTCTTCTGGAACCACTTTCTGCCACAGTATTTGTTCATATTTTGCCAAGCCTGGCATTGAATATTCACTTCCATACGTTGGTTAATGCCATAGTCCCACCCCAAATTACCCTTTACCTTTTCTCTGCCATGGTCTGGACAAATGTGCCATTCCAATTTACAGTTGTCTCTGGAGGTGTTAATTTATTTGTTCAATGCCAAATAACTAGTAAGTCTCAGAGCCAAAGTTTGTGCCTAGAACTGTTATTTACAGTAGGTAGCTAGTCAGGCATGAGCAGCACAGAAGAGGGCTCCTCCCCCCGCTCAACACACACACTAGGAATGTCAGGTGACCATCAGGTGAGGGCCAGGTGGTTGTTAACTGTCTCTTTAAAATACTAGTTAATCATAGATGGCCTGTCTCCTAATAGATAGAACTGAAACTGGTGATTAGCAGCTTCCCAATAAGATCTCAGGAACTGGGCAAATGGGCTCAAGCATGTGCATTAAGAGGCAAAATTGTGTAGTTTAACCGGTATCTGACCTTCCTCTAGGAATGCTAGACTGGTAAGGGAAGAATGCCTCAAGTGAGCACGTGTACAACTCCAGTAAACACACTGTGCATGCTCCCCTCCCAAGTGCTACCAGGCCACTGTGCATGAGGACAGCCTACCCCAAGGGAAGAATCAGGGGAGAAAGGATGCAAGACATGGGAAGTGAGCCAATATATAAAACCCCAAGTCAAATGTGAAACTAAGCACTTGATCTCTCAAGTCACCGCTTGGCCCTCTTCCAAGTGTACTTTACTTTCTTTCATTCCTGCTCTAAAACTTGCCTCAGTCTCTCCTTCTGCCTCATGCCTCCTTGGTCAAATTCTTTCTCCTGAGTAGGCAAGAATTGAGGTTTTTGCAGACCCATATGGATGCTCTGCCAGTAACAGAACCACTGCTTTTAGAACACTCATTCTTTGCATTCTAACAAGATGCTCTGTAACTAATTTTCAAGTACGAAACCACCTAGATTGCACCTTTATGATATTAATACAGTGTTATAAAAAATAAGACGTAAACATGAGTTTTACAAAAATAAAAATTTTCTGAAGTTCACATTTGTAAGCAGAAATTGCATATATGGTGGTGGGGTAGAGATTAGCATGAGAGAAAATTCTTTAGGAATAAAAAACCTGATTATTCCTGCCATTGATGATTATTCATGTCCCACTTTGTTTTAGACATTTCATTCTGAGCAAAACCCAGTTAGCAGATTTGTTATATAACTGCCTGCCTGTCTGTGCATAAATTGTATTAATTGAAAATAATAACATCAGTTTTATCTAACATTTTGGGATACGAGTATATCTCCAAATTTTTTTGATTCTTTTTTATTTTTAATTTTTATGTGTACATATATGTAATTTTATGTGTAAGTATATATATTTACGGGGTATATGAGATGTTTTGATACAGGCATGTTAGGTCAAATAAGTACGTCATGAAGAATGGGGTATCCATCCCCTCAAGCATTTGCCTTTGGATTACAAAGAATCCAATTACACTCTTTAAGTTATTTTAAAATTGACTATAGTCATCTTATTATGTTATCTAATAGGGGTCTTATTCATTCTTTCTATTTCTTTTTGTACCCATTAACCATCACCACCTCCCCTCAGCCCCGCACTACCCTTCCCAGCCTCTAGTAACCATCCTTCTACTCTCTATGTTCATGAGTTCAATTGTTTTGACTTTTAGATCCCACAAGTAAGTGAGAACATGCAATGTTTGTCTTTCTGTGCCTGGATTACTTCACTTAAAGTAATGACGTCCAATTCCATGCATGTTGTTGCAAATGACTGGATCCTTTTGATTTTTGTGGCTGGATAGTACTCCATGGTGTATATATACCACATTTTCTTTATCCAGTAATCTGTTGATGGTCACATAGGTCGCTTCCAAATCTTAGTTATTGCAAACAGTGCTGCAACAAACATAGGAGCAGAGATATTTTTTCATGTACTGATTTCCTTTCTTCTGGGTATATACCCTACAGTTAGATTGTTGGATCATACAGTGACTCAGTTTTTAGTTTTTTGAGTAATCTCCAAACTGTTGTCCATAGTGGTTGTGCTAATTTACATTCTCACCAATAGTGTATGAGGAATCCCTTTTCTCAACATCCTCAACAGCATTTGTTATTGCCTGTCTTTGGATATAAGTCATTTTAACTGGGGGTAAAATGATATCTTATTGAAGTTTTTTGATTTTCATTTCTCTGACATTCAATGATATTAACCATCTTTTCATATGTCCGTTTGCCATTAGTATGTCTTATTTTGAGAAATGTCTATTCATATCTTTTGCCCATTTTTTATTCAAATTATTAGATTTTTTTTTCTCTATAGAGTTGTTTGAGCTCCTTACATATTCTGGTTAGTAATCCCTTGTCAGAGGGGTAGTTTGCAAATAATTTTCTCCCATTCTGTGGGTTGTCTCTTCACTCTGTTGATTGCATCCTTTGCTCTGCAGATGCTTTTTAACTTGATGTGAACCAATCTGTCCACACTGGTTTTGGTTACCTGTGCTTGTATGGTATTTTTCAAGAAATCTTTGCCAAGACAAATGTCCAGAAGACTTTCCCCAATGTTTTCTTATAGAAGTTTCATAGTTTTGGGTCTTGGATTTAAGTCTTTAATCCATTTTGATTTGATTTTTGTATGTGACTAGATACAGGGGTCTGGTTTCATTCTTCTGCATATGAATATCCAGTTTTCCCAGCACCATTTATTAAAGAGACAGTCTTTCCCCCAGTGTATATTCTTGGCATCTTGTGGTGTCTGAATTTTTTTCTGAGTTCTCTGTTCTTTTCCATTTGTCCACATGTCTATTTTTATGCCAGTACCATGATGTTTTGATTACTATATCTCTGTAGTCTAATTTGAAGTCAGGTTATGTGATTTCTCTTTTGTTTTTTTTTTCTTAGGAGAGCTTTAGCTATTCTGGGTCTTTTGTTTATAATTAGAGAATTGTTTTCTCTATTTCTATAAAGAATTTCACTGGTATATTGATAGCAATTGAATTGACTCTGTAGATTGCTTTGTGTAGTACGGACTTTTAACAATACTGAATCTTCTGATCAATGAACAGGGAATATTTTTCCATTTTTGGTATCCTCTTCAATTTTTTTCTTCATTGTTTTATAGTTTTTATTATAGAGATCTTTTACTTCTTTGGTTAATTCCTAGGTATTTAATTTTATGCATTGCTATTGTAAATGGGATTACTTTGTTATTTCCTTTTCACATTGTTCACTGTTGGCATAATGTTACTCATTTTTGTATCCTGAAACTTTACTGGACTTGTTAATCAGTTATCATAGTTTTCTTGTGGCGTCTTTAGGTTTTTTCAAGTATAAGACTATATATCGCCTGTAAACTATAATAATTTGTCTTCTTCCTTTCCAATTTTGATGCCCTTTATATCTTTATCTTGTCTGATGCTCTAGCTTGGAATTCTAGGACTATGTTGAATAACAGTGTTGAAAGTGGGCATCCTTGTCATGTTCCAGATCTTAGAGGAAAGGCTTTCAGTTCTTCTTCATTCAGTTTGATACTAGCCGTGGGTCTGAATATGTGGCTCTTTTACATTGAGGAATATTCCTTCTATCCCAGTTTTGAGACTTTTTATTGTGAAGCGATGTTGAACTTTATCAAATGCTTTTTCAGCATCGATTGAAATGGTCATATGGTTTCTATCCTTCATTCTATTGATATGATGTATTGAACTGATTGATTTGCATGTATTGAACCATCCTTGCATCCCAGGGATAAATCCCACTTGGTCATAATGAAAGATCTTTCTAACATATTGTTGAATTTGGTTTGCTAGTATTTTATTGGAGATTATTGATTCAATATCCATCAGAGATATTAGCCTGTAGTTTTCTTTCTTTGTGATGTCTTTGGTTTAGGTATCAGTGTAATACTGGCCTTGCATAATGACTTTTTAAATATTTCCTCCTCCTCTGTTTTTTGGAATAGTTTGAGGAGGATTGGTATTAGTTCTTTAAGTGTTTGGTAGAATTCAGCAGTGAAGCCATCAAGTCCTGGTCTTTTCTTTATTGGGAGACTTTATTATGGCTTTGATCTCATTACATTTTATTGGTCTGTTCAGTTTTTTTATTTCTTTCTGGTTCAATCTTGGTAGGTGGTATTTATCTAGGTATTCATTTATTCTAGATTGTTCAATTTATTGGCATATAGTTGCTAATAGTAGCCACCAATGATTCTTTGAATTTCTGCAGTATCAGTTATAAAGTCTCCTTTTTAATCTCTGGATTTATTTGGAAGTTGTGTATCCATTAAATATATAGATTTATATGTAGCAGTGTGGGAGGGGTGTGTTTGGATAGATAGATAGATGTATCTCTCTATATATACACACCAATGATAATCATAATCATGGCATTTTTACAGGTTAATTTATCAAAATAAGTTTCTGTAAATTCTCAAATAATTGATGATGATTAGCTCTTATTTATTATTTAATATGTACCAAAAATTTAAACTATTTTTATCATTTTTCCCCACTAAACAATAACTGGGGGTACATTTTATTTTTCCATTTAATAACTAACAAAAATATTTAACTAGTCACATTAACCACATTTTTTTTTCCCTATGTTGCAATGCTATTAAGTGGTAGAGGCAGAATTTTGCTTCTCACAATCTGAAGTTAAAAGCAGCATTTCTTTAATTACAGAGTGTGAGAGATTAGTTGAAGGGTAAAAAGTTTCATTCAGTTAGATAGGAGAAATAAGTACTGGAGATACATTGTACAGTATAGTGATCATAATTGGTAATGTATAATATACTTAAAATTGCTCAGAGTAGATTTGAAATGTTCTCATTAAAAAATGATAAATATGTGAGGTCATGAATATGATTATTAGTTTGATTTAATCATCCCACTATGTTTATGTTCCTATGTTTGTATGCATATAAATCAAAACATCACATTGTATACCAAAGATACGTAATCTGTAATTTATCAATTAAAAATAATTATTTTTTAAAAAATATAATTCCCAATTACTATGCTACATTCGTGAAATTAGAAATAGTGGTCCATCTACTGCCTCTAGAATTAGCTTACCCTGTGAAGGACAATGTCTAGGTTTTAGTGTCCTTTTAACGAAAATGACACTTAATTGGTGAATTATATACCCTTCTCTCAACAACACCTTAAAAATCCTCTAATATTACATGTAGAAATTGGTAACCTCACAGACAAAAAGAAAAAATTAGTATAGCCATGGAGAATTAGACTAGAGAAAGTGTGTTTATCTTACATTAAAGGTAAGTACTAAAACTTAGACTACTATTAATCTTTATATCTAGGTGTGCATTTCCAGTCAATTTTATATTGGATTTTATAACCATTTTGATTTTGTGTATCAGTTAACTAATTAGTATAAACATTACATAAACTGTATGATCGATTAGGAAATTGTAGTGTCTAGATATAATGTCATTCACAAAAGATAAACTGATGGCTGGCTATTATGATTCTTACTTTACCAAGTAACAAATTTAGCATTATGAAATCTGTAGTTAGTTTACTTCTGCAATGAACATAACATTAAAATTGTTGTAATAATATGTTTCTCCAATTTTTTATATAATGCATAAAGGACAAAAGATCAAGCCACTTCTATATCTTGCCTGTTAATCAGAAAATATCTTGGATTTATAGCTATGTACTAATCACAAAGTCTTTCTTAGAAAAGTATTAAAAGTGATTTTATACTATATAATATTATTTATTAAATCCTATGTGATGTTCTCCTCACAACTAGTGTCTTCATAGTTTAATTTTTTTCTCTATTTTTTTAAAAGTCAGAATTGTCAAGGGTTATGTCATATTAGTATCAAGATAGTTGACCATAATTTTAGATATTAGGCTGAGACATATCAGGACAGCTAACATTTCAATGTAAGTCAATGAAATATATAGATGGTTATATAATTAGGAATTAAGGAAAGAAGCATGAGAAAGGCTGCATAAAGGAAACTTCTCTCGGATAATCCTTATAAGCATGGAAAATATACTTTTTCACAAAACTTAAGACACAATGCAAAATGATGCTATTCCATTTTTAAATGAATGTTCACTTTTATAAAGTCTTACATAAGTAATTGTAGATAATGGCTCAGGCAACATTTTAGTACCATTGCCTGCATGTTTTGAAATTTTGATGTCCTTCTTTATGAGGGATGGATGTGGCAATGCTACCAAGACTTTTTAATACAATGTACTAAAATTTTTAATATATAGGATATAATACTTGGAACTATGAACTTATGAGTAACATTAAAAGGGAAAACTGTTAAAAAAATGAATAATTTGATTACAAGTTATTTTTTAAGAAACAGAATCATCAATAAAATTTTGAAATAGAAAATGGACCCAAACAGCACAGTTAGTTTAGAGATTTAAAGAACATCTTTCAGATATTATTAGCTGTCTCTTGAAAGATATCTGCTTGCAACGCAACCAAAGTCTTACAAATGTGTACAGTTTAACATACCTACTTGGGGGAGAAACATATCTCAATATTTTCAGATAGAAAAAAATCTATTTTGTTATCATGAAACTTCAGAACATATTTCAGAAGAACCCAACATAATACATGCCAATTTTAACATTTCTTTAATTAAGAAAATATTTTATAAATAAACATTTCTAGTGTTTAACTTCAAATGCTATTTTTATAATCCTCAACAGAAAGGATATTAGAACACAGTTTTAAATATATCACTACTACAAATGTTCTGTCACTGAAAAATACTTGTAACAGAACATTTATTTAGGAACATTTTGCAGAGTAATTTTTATTTATTTTACTATGTTTTTGAGACGGAGTCTCACTCTGTCACCCAGGCTGGAGTGCAGTGGCGCCATCTCAGCTCACCACAACCTTTGCCTGATGGGTTCAAGCGATTCTCATGCCTCAGCCTCCCAAGTAGCTGGGACTACAGGCGTGTGCCACCATGCCTGGCTAATTTTCGTATTTTTTTTGGTAGAGACGGGGTTTCATCATGTTGGCCAGGATGGTCTTGAACTCCTGACCTCAAGTGCTCTGCCAGTCTCAGCCTGCCAAAGGCTTTTGCAAAGTAATCTATATGTCTCCCCTTTTCTTTTTATTATTACCTTTTTTTTATTTTGCTTTGGTTTACTTATTAGCCAGAATATTTTGTTTGATAATTAACATTACATTCTTTTGAGAAAATCAAATAAGAGCAAACAATACAAATCTACTCTCAGAAACAGTGACATCCTCTACTATGTGGTCTGTGTAAAATAATTTATATTTCACTACATTTCTTTTGTATGCTGAAAAATCACCTTTTAATAATGAATAGGACAGAGCCATATCATCTCTCTCAATTGAGAAATTTAATGTACTTGTTAGGTGACATGCAGATAAAGCTAAAATGCAAACCCTATACTTACTTCTTTAATATTTATATGTTTATTTTGAACCAAGAAAATATTTCCATATCATTACACATCGGAATTATTGAAAGAGGCACTTTTTATAGAAATTAACTTTTAAAATTAAATCCTCTTTCCTACTCCAAATTGTTCCACTTAATGCCAGAAATATCTTACATAAAATATCCACTGGTCTACTCACATGACAGCAACTTTTATTGCAAAAGGATATGCCAGAGTTTGATTCATTATTATGTCACAGTTATGACTCATCTCTTAGGGTAACACAATTGTCATGTTAGCTGTGTGGTTTTCAATTTACTCTTGACTTAAGCAGGAAATAAAAGAATGTCCAGCTGAGAGATTGCCAGGGGTGTTGAAATGAGTCATATGCATTAGCAGGCATTATTTACTCATAAATCCCATATTTATTGGGAGCATTTTGCAATTCCAGAAGGTGATCATAAAGTTATCTTGGCTATGTGTTGGATCAGTAGCAAACAGGAATTGCTATTATGAAATCATTACACTGAAGTGTGTCTGATGCCTGAAATAGATCCTCATATTCAAAAGAATATCAACGACTAAGGCACTTACCAAACTACTTGATACAAATATGGAAAATGGCTAACTACTCTGTCAAAAATTTATATTGATTTTATAGGTACATTTCACATGAATACTTGATTCTTTTAGCTGCTTCAGAATAGCTTGAGCTAATTCTACATCAATCTCATATCATCAGTGTAGCATCCTGTGTTATTCCAGTGACACTTGGTAAGAACCAGTGTATCTCCTCTAGAGCCATCTGCTATTAATTTTGAAGCTAAGCCTCCCAGAATTTCACTCATCTGGAACCTAGGGGCAACACACACACACACACACACACACACACACACACACACACACAGACAAACACACACTCTTTTCCAAATATTGGAGTGTTAAAGTATTAAACTAGTCATCTATAAAGTAGAGTGTTTCCTGTGCAGCAAGTAGAAGTGTAATTAATTATACATGTACTGTATTTTGAAGTCCATTTGGAAGTACATGAGTTGACTGATTTGTCAAGGGTCTTAAACACAATCATTAATCTAATCATTTATCTCCTGGAAATCTGTTTGAGTGAGACATTATTAAAAATGTTTGGTATAAGAAAATGTATTGCAGTGCTACTAATAGAAAACATAAATCCAAAATATAGTAATGGTAACAATAATAACAAATTATTAATATTTATTGAGCTCTATATGACTGACCCACGTCTATGCCTTGCTCTGTATTATTTAATCTTGTCAACAACCTAATAAGTTAGGTTCAAGTATTATATGCATTTTGAAAATGAAGAAACTGCATGTTTGCTTGAGCACAAACAATCTGACTTTTTAAATATTCATGAATTAGAGAATACTAATGCTATTTAAACTATACGGCAAAAGTTGTTACTAATAATCTTTATTATAAAACAACTGAGTGTCTATATATATGCATATTTTGCATGAATCTTACTTTATAGCTAAAATGTAATCAACCATTTTCTGTCCCCAATTCCATTAAACAATATGCGAGATGAATATATTCTCATTCTTGAGATTTTCCACCATCTCTAGGCAGGGCTGAATCTTTGGATGGGTGACTAGTACAGTTCCACAGCGCCCAACTCTTAGAAGGGCCAGCACTTAAGAGTTTAATGATCTTCATTGCAAGCTTTTAATTCTTTTTTTTTTTTTTCTGAAACAGAGTCTTGCTCTGTTTCCACGCGGGAGTGCAATGGCATGATCTCGGTTTATTTTAACCTCTGCCTCCCAGCTTCAAGTGATTCCCCTGCCTCAGCCTCCCAAGTAGCTGAGACTACAGGCACACACCACCACACCCGGCTAATTTTTTGTATTTTAGTAGAGACAGAGTTTCACCATGTTGGCCAGGATGGCCTCAATCTCCTGACCTCGTGATCTGCCCGCCTTGGCCTCCCAAAGTGCTGGGATTACAGGCGTGAGCCACCAAGCCTGGCCTAATTCTTAATGATATCTCTGAATTTGTATTTTTAAGTAAATTCTGATGGGATAATGCGTCATGTGTCCAGGACTTGAAGCTGCTATTCCCTCATGATCCTGACACCTGGAATTTGCACCTCACAGGACCCCAGCCTTGCTGCTCTGCCCATTGACCTCTGCCACCCTCCATACCGGGTGTGAGTTACCACCAGAAGAAGTCTGTGGCAGCAGCAGTCTTTGCCTTATTCTGACAGTGCCAAAGTGTGTTTGGTGGGTGACTCAGCTGAGTTGAGCCTCTTGCCAACTCCCAACACAGGTGCAGAGTGCATCTGAGCATGGAGGTTCTTGACTCTTATGACATGAAAAGTGCAATGTGAACATAAAATTGTGAATGATGTGACTATTCCAAAAACACAAACAGACACTGGCAAGGATCTGTTTTGCCAACAAAGCTACACAACTGCAGCAGAAAAGCTCCATGGAGGAAAAACTACAGTGCAAATAAAGGTTTCCAGCCGTCAATGATGCTAGCAAAGTGGAGGAAGGGTCACAGTAGGTCCCTCAGAAAGCTTCCCCAGCCACTTTCATGAAATTAACACCCTTGACCATTTTCTCTTCCAAAAAGTAAGGATTTTCTCTTTAATGTCTCATGCCTCTTCCAGCTTTATTACTCTGTGATTATGTGTTCATTTTTAAGGCATAATAAATGTGAAAAAAATGAGATTGATTTGAGTTTACTTTTTCTAAAAGTTCATTCTAGATGCAATAAATGAAGTTAGACAGTAAAACTCAGTAAAAATGCTTTATAATATATGTATATATGCTCTTTAAGAAAAATTGCTTAACATTTTTACCTCTTAATTTGCTTTCGTGATTCCATGCATTTTGTTGTACTTATCATGGCAAAATTTATTTGTGAAGTATATATCAGAAAGCCTTGCTCTATGATCAACAAACTTTGGTTAACTTTTAACTTTCAACATAACATTAGATATTCACCTCTCCATTTGTTCAGAGTTAAATTGTCATTACTCATTTGCTTTTTTATCTAAATTAAGATTTTCTTTAAGTCAACACAATAAACGCCATATATGCCAAGCCCACAGCTAACATCATATTCAACCATGAAAAGCTGAAACATTATCCTCTAAGATCAGGAAGAAGACAAATATGCCCACTTTCCCTTTTTCTGTCAACACTGAAAGGGAAGTCTAACCCCGAGAAATTAGGTAAGAGAAAAAAACTACAGGCATCTAAACTGGAATAGTAGTTAAACTGTCCTTGCTTGCAGACACATGATCTTACATATAGAAAACTCTAGGCCGGGCGCAGTGGCTCACGCCTGTAATCCCTGCACTTTGGGAGGCCAAGGTGGGCAGATCATGAGGTCAGGAGATCGAGACCATCCTGGCTAACACGGTGAAACCCTGTCTCTACTAAAAATACAAAAAATTAGCTAGGCGTGGTGGCGGGCACCTGTAGTCCCAGCTACTTGGGAGGCTGAGGCAGGAGAATGGCATGAACCTGGGAGGCGGAGCTTGCAGTGAGCCAAGATTGCACCACTGCACTCCAGCCTGGGCAACAGAGAGAGACTCCATCTCAAAAAAAAAAAAAAAAAAAAAAAAAGAAAACTCTAAAGACTCCACCAAAAAAACTGTTAGAACTAATAAGCAAATACAGTAAAGTTGCAGAATAAAAAATAAACAAAAATCACCTGTGTTTCTATGCACTACAAAGAATCTGAAAAGGAAATAATTAAACAATCTCATTTATAACCACATCAAGAAAAATAAAGTACTTAAGGAAAAAAATTCAACAAAGATGGTAAAAAAAAAAAAAAAAAAAAAAAACTTGCACACTGAAAACTACCCAAAACAATCTATGTATTCAATCCATAGCTATCAAAGTTCCAATGACAGTTTTTTACAGAACTAGAAAAAACAATCCTAAAATTTGTATGAAGCCACAAAAAACTCTGACTAGCCAAAGCAATGTTGAGCAAAAAGAACAAAGGTGATTGCACCACATTGCTTAATTTCAAATCTAAAACAAAGCCATAGTAATCAGATCAGTATGGTACTGGTACAAAAATCAGACACATAGACCAATGGAACAGAATAGAGAACCCAGAAATAATTTTATGAATTTACAGTTAATTGATTTCTGACAAAGATTCTAGGAACACACAATGGAGAAAGGATTGTCTTTTCAATAAATGGTGCTGAGAAATACTGAGTGATGTAAAATGTTCACACCACAAAAATAATAACTGTGAGGTAATGCATATTTTAATCAGCTAGATTTAAATATTCCACAATGTATATACACAGAAAAACATCATGTACTTGATAAATATATACAATTATATTTGTTAATTTAAAATAAATAAATTAGAGGAAAATAAATGATGCTAGGAAAACTGGATATCCACATGCAGAAGAATAAAATTAGACTCTTATAACACAGAAAAACAATCAAATCAAAATATATTAAAGACTTAAATTTCAGACCTGAAACTGTAAAATTACTAGAAGCAAATAGAACGAAAAAAAGCTCCATGACATTGACTTAAGTAATAAATTTTTTGGAGCTGAGTCTATAGGTACCAGCAACAAAAGCAAAGTAGACAAATGGGATTCGCAAACTGAAAAGCTCTGCACAGAAAAGGAAACAGTCAACAGAATGAAGAGACAACCTACAAATGGGAGAAAATATTTATAAACCATACATTTAATAAGGTTAATATTCTATATGTAGGGAATTCAGACAACTCAATAGGAATAAAACAAATAACTTGATTTTTATAAATGGCCAACAGGTTTATTAAAAAATGTTCAACATTACTAATCATTGGGGAAATTCAAATTACAATCACAATTCAATTATAATCACAATGAGGTAACACCTCACACCTGTGATTGAAATTCAATTACAATCACGATGAGGTAACACCTCACACCTCTTAGAATGGCTATTATCAAAAAGACAAAAAATAACAAGTGTTAAGAGAGGATGTGAAGAAAAGGGAACTCTTTTTTTTTTTTTTTTTTTGAGACAGAGTTTCGCTCTGTCGCCCAGGCTGGAGTGCAGTGGCACGATCTCGGCTCACTGCAAGCTCCCCCTCCCGGGTTCACGCCATTCTCCTGCCTCAGCCTCCCGAGTAGCTGGGACTATAGGCGCCCGCCACCACGCCCGACTAAATTTTTTTGTATTTTTAGTAGAGACGGGGTTTCACCGTGTTAGCCAGGATGGTCTCTATCTCCTGACCTCATGATCTGCCCGCCTCGGCCTCCCAAAGTACTGGGATTACAGGCGTGAGACACCGCGCCAGGCTGAAAAGGGAACTCTTTTACAACCATAGTGAAAAACACTATAGAGGTTCTTCAAAAACCTAAAAGTAAAACTATCATATGATCCAAATATATATATGTATACCCAAAAGAAAGGAAATAAGTATATCAAAGGGAAATCTGTGCTCCCTTGTTTATTGCAACATTATTCACAATAGCCAAGTTATAGAATTTACTTAGTTGTCCAGCAGTGGATGAACAAAAGAAAACGTGGTATATATACGCAATGGAATATTCTTTAGCCATAAAAATAATGAAGTCCTGTCATTTGCAATAACAAATTGCATCATTAAACATTATGTTAGTTGAAATAATCCAGGCACAGAAAGAAAAATACCACATGATCTCACTCATATGTAGAATCCCAAAATGTCAAACACATAAAAGTAGAAAGTAGAATAGCATTTACCAGGGACTGGGTTTACGCACTAGTTGGGGGGATGTAGTACCAAGGATTCAAATTTTGAGTTAGACAGAAGGAAACATTCAAGCAACGTATTTTATAATATGGCGACTATAGTTAATAACAATGTATTTTATGCTTGAAAATTGCTGAGAGTAGATTTTAAGTGCTTTGCCCCAAAAAGCTATGTGAGGTAATGCATGTGTTAAATAACTTGATTCAGTCATTCCACAATACACAAATATTTCAAAACATCACATCATACACAATAAATATATACAATTTTTGTCAATTTAAAAAGATATGATTTTTAAAAAGATTTGTTCTATTATTTCCCTTTGTTTCTGCTTACATTAATAACCCCTATATTTTATTATATGAATATGTTTTATTTACACACACACAAACACACATGCACACACAGAATCTTTAACTGAAATGAAGAAGACTTGGCCAGGAGAGAGTTTAGGTTTGGGGAGTTGTTACATATACAAGTGGAAAAGAACAAGCTGTTAGATTTGTAAATGTCTGGAACTTAGAGGAGGAAATGGAGTTGGAGAGAGAAATGGGAGTCATAAGAAAATATTTCATAAGTCTCAAAGACTGGATCATTTTATCTGAGGAGACGGTAAAGATGGAGTAGTGGAGAGGGCTTAGGGCTCAGCCCTGTGGCACCCTAACAGCATGACAGAGTGAAAAGGTTCATCAAAGGAGACTAAAAAGTATTCTGTGTGACCATGGGGGAAAGCCAGAAAATAACCACAAATGCAAAAACATCTCCCCCGACCCTCCACCAAAATAATAACAACAACAACAAAACCACCTAAATGAGTGGGACTCAATGAAAGCTAAAGGAAACATGTTTCAAGAAAAATGGGTTGATTATGTCCAATGCCACTATGAAGTCAAGGATAAATACTGATTACAGGTTCTGGCAAAATTTTAAAATATTTAAGAGCTGGTTAAGAGATATTTTAGTGTTTATGACGTCAAAGTTGGATTTGTTGTGATAGAGAATATGTGGAAATGGAAATCGTACATATTCATAGCTGTTATTCTAAGTTTTGTTGTAAAAAGTCGAGCCAAATGAGGAGATAGCCAGACATCTATGTGCATTCAATGTACTTTTGTGTATTTTATTTTGCTATTTAAATGGGGGATATTCAGGATGTGTATATGACTATGGACAAAAAAATAGATAATGACTGCAAAACTGAGGTCCATGAAAGGAAAGAAGGGATGAATCCAGAGGTTGGTGGAATGTCTGGATTTAAATCGAGGAGGGCTACTTCTCTGAGTAATAGAAGATGTGTTTGATTATATGAGTTTGGAGGCACATAGGCTGGGTCTACATGCTTTGTCTGTGAACTGTGGTGTGAGGTAATAACTGGGCATGAGGCATGAAACATTCTTCTGGGAAATAGGAAAAGTTACATATGAGGAAACTGTCAGATAATTGTCTAGGTTTATGAAGTTAAAATTTCAAAATGTGATTCATCCTAAATTTGAAATCCATCCAATCGTCATCAGGTATTTGGCAATAATCAGCTATTTGGGGTGTAATTCCGGAAAATTGATCTGTAAGTTTACTCCTCTGAGTTTCTTACAGAGGAGTACAAGAGAAGGATGACTCAACAGAAGAACTCAACAGTGAATCAAGTCAGTGTTGAGAGATCTGCTCTGTGCAACCTATGCCAGGTAATAAGATGAAAATCTGAGGGGTGTCATGTCTCTACCTCATGTTCCTTCATTTGACTACAACTTATAACTACAGGGGCAGTAAACCGTTCACATGTGTGCTGATAGTTTCCTTCCTCAAGTGCCACTGGTTCTCAGCTTATCTGCCTTATCTGCCTTAAGGCTTTCTCTCTCTCTCTTTTTTTTTTTTTTTTTGAGACGGAGTCTCACACCTGTTGCCCAGGGCTGGAGTGCAATGGCATGATCTCAGCTCACTGCAATCTTTGCCTCCCTGGTTCAAACGGGAGGCCTCAGCCTCCCAAGTAGCTGGGATTACAAGTGCCCACCACCACAGCCGGCTAATTTCTTTTGTATTTTTAGTTGAGACAAGGTTTCACTACTTTGGCCAGAATGGTCTCCAACTCCTGACCTCATGATCTGCTTGCCTCAGCCTCCCAAAGTGCTGAGATTACAGGCATGAGCCACTGCTCATGGTCAAGGCTTTTTCTAACACTTAAATATTTTTCTCAGCTTATATTCACAATATTTATCACCTGACAACAAGAATTGAGCCCCCATACAAATCTCAACCAATGAAATTGTGGAGTCATTGAGTAAATTCACCAACTTCTACACTCTTCTATGGAAAATTCTAAAGTGTGTCTTGCATAGTTCCACAGTGGATCTTCAGGAAGCTTGTGCTGCATTTGTCTATTGTAATACATGGATTATTATTGCACACTGTGTTTGCTTCTTCTCTTCTTTAATTCACTTTTCCCACATCCTGAGTTTTTCTTCTTGAAATCACCTCAGAAATAAACCACACACACCCAAGCACTTAGATTGCAGTGTCTCCTTTAGTGGAATGCCAACCAGGACAGAGAGGGGTCATGGAAAGTGAAGTGTTGAGGACCCTGGATTAAAATAATTGTAGAGGTAAATACTTTATTCAGTTATTATACTAAAGTGTGTAACTTGGAAAGATGGGAAGTGATTCTTGGATGATGATAGATAGAAATGAGATTTAAGAGGTAGTGAAACTAAGTTTTTACCTCCAAGGAAGGCTTGGAGTATAAGTAAAATGAGTAATTTGCTGATGTGTGGCTAGCAAAAAATGGTGATAAGTATTGATCAGATTATCTATGTGGATACCGACACTGCTAAAAACATAATGGGGTGCCAGGCATGGTGGCTCACACCTGTAATCCCAGCACTTTGGAAGGCCAAGGTGGGTGGATCATTTGAGGTCAGGAGTTCGAAACCAGCCTGACTGACATGGTGAAACCCCGTCTCTACTAAAAACACAAAAAAATTAGCTGGGTGTGGTGACACAAGCCTGTAGTCCCACCTACTTGGGAAGCTGAGGCAGGAGAATCACTTGAACCTGGGAGGCAGAGGTTGCAGTAAACCGAGATCGCACCACTGCACTCCAGCCTGGGTGACAGAGCAAGACTCCATCTCAAATAATAATAATAATAATAATAATAATGGGTTTGATGGTTATGATGAAGAGCTAAAATCATAAGTAGAAGATTGGGAATAACAGGAAAGTTTGTAGGGAACTTAGGCGGATAATATTTACTTCATAGAGATAGGACATATGAAGGGGAAGGAAAGAAAAACAGAAAACCACAAGGGGGACCAAAGAGGACATCCAAACAATGTAGTCTTCTAAATTCTTTCAGTGCAGGTTTTACAAAAAATGCTTCCACTGTGAATGCTGCAAGAGAACATGGCTAGAAATGAAGGCCTAGTATAGCTGGTCTAGGGCTCCTGCCAAGAACTTGGGGGGCAGCTTAATGTGAGATGACAGATGAAGACTCTAATGCTACTTGGCTTATCAATAGGAATTAGCAACAACTCTTTGCAACACTATAGGAATTGCAAGCAGCAAAGTGTTCACGGCAAGAAGATGACTCCAGGTTCCTTTTGCAAAAGGAATTTTAAGAGGTCTGGAACAGTAATCTTTACTGTCCTACTAATGTGTTGTGACCCTGGGTTAGGTTCTTAACCTTTATCTGCTTTAGTTTCTTCAACTTATAAAATGCAGATGAGACAATGTTGTGTGGGTTAATTAGTGTTCCTAAAATATTGAACATTATTAAATGTAGTTAGAAGCACTAATTACTCACATTGACAAAAAGGCAAGGTTTGGGGCAGAGGCAACTGCGTTTGTGATAAGAGTATCTAGTGCCCTTTAACCTCTTAATTTCATATGTGTCTTGACTTTCCTAACAAGACGTTTTCTGCTTTGATGCCAATAAATTGAACAAATCTTACTAGCACATGAACATTGATATCAGCCAAGTGAATATTTTGTTAATATTCCCTATATAACCAGTGTAATTAATACTGTGATAATAGACAAAGTGATGTAGCAAATAGTGCTTGTGATCCCAGGTCAAAAGAAATAATTGTAGTGCTCCATAATTGCATGTGTGTGACCGATCTTGTGCTAATTTGAATCTCAGAGCATTTACACGGATTCAAATTTATAATGACTAATATATACATGATCATCTCTTATTCAAAATAGTTGTAAGGCTTCAGTGAAATGGTATTATCTTAAAATATTTTTGAACTGCAAATGAATAAATAACTATCATTACTATTTACTTGCTCTATTTCTTCCAATCAATTTTAAGAAGAAGATTTCTGTGCTTGTCCTTCCTTCCTGCACCTGATTGAAAGAAGAGCTACTTTGTCAATTTATTCAGTCATTCATCCATCCGTTTATTCAATGATCAAGTATTATACATCTTAAAATGTTAGAATTGAGCCTGGGGTAAAGAAAAATATAACAGTCCTTTTACCTAAGGGATTCACATGCATTTAAAAATAATTATAATGCATGATGCTGTCATGTTAGTATTATATATACCACATTGACATGTTACAAAGTTGTACAATCTCAGCAGCTTATAAATATATGCATATATTATCTCATAGTTTCTTTTTTTTTTTTTTTTTTTTTTTTTTGAGACGGAGTCTCACTCTGTCGCCAGGCTGGAGTGCAGTGGTGCCATCTCAGCTCATTGCAACCTCTGCCTCCTAGGTTCAAGCGATTCTACTGCCTCAGCCTCCTGAGTAGCTGGGATTACAGGGGCGTGCCACCATGCCTGACTAATTTTTGTATTTTTGGTAGAGACAGGTTTTGCCATGTTGGCCAGCCTGGTCTTGAACTCCTGACCTCAGGTGATCCACCCAGCTCAGCCTCCCAAAGTGCTGGGATTACAGGCATGAGCCACTGTGCCCTGCCTCATAGTTTCTGTAGGTCAGAAATCTGGATATAATTTAGCTGGATATTCCACTGGGAATCATATAAACCTGCAACTGAGGGTCCACCCAGAGTTCATTCTCAGCTAGAGGTTCAACTGGGGATCAATCTACATCTAAACTTCAGGTCATTGGTAGAATCTATTTCCTGGTGGCTGTGCAATTACTGAAGGCTCTAGCATTTTGTTGGCTGATGGCTAGGGACTGCTCACAGTTCTTAGAAGTTACTTATAATTTCTTGCCATTTGGGCTTCTTTAACATGACCACTTTCTTCATTAAGACAGCATAAAGATTTGTCACCTTAAAGAGGGTCCAATTCCTCTCTTAGGAGCTTAAACCTGATTATATTAGACCTACCTAGGATAATCCCCTTTATGATTCACAGCATAAACTGATTTGTAAAACTTAATTACATCTGCAAAATCCTTTCTCTTTGTCATATTCTATTGACAAGAAGCAAGTCACAGGTCCTGCTCACACTCAGATGGAGAATATTCTAGATGATACGAACACCCTGGGAGCCACTTCTAGGATCTGGCCACAACAACTTGGAAGAGTCTGTGTTTTTTTTTTTTTAAATGAAGCTTTAATTAACACTAACAATAAAAATAAGAACTAACGTTAGGAGGCCTTACATTCTCAAGGTTATAGACAAAAGTAAACAAATACAGGTTGAATTTCCCTTATCCAAAATGGTTCAGACCAAGTGTGTTTCAGATTCTAAATTTCTTTAGGCTTTTGAAATGTTAGTATATACATAGTGAGATATCTTGGAGATGGGACCCATGTCTAAAGAGGAAACTCACTTATGTTTCGTATCACCTAAAACACATAGCCTGGACATAATTTATACAATGTCTTAAATAATTTTGTGCATGAAACAAAATATTGACTGTCTTTTGACAGACCCATCACATGAGGTCAGGTGTGAAATTTTTCACTTGCGACATCATGTCACCGCTCAGAAAGTTTTGAAATTCGGAGCGTTTTAAATTTCAGGTTAGAGATGCTCAACTCGTCATTCAATTTAATTAGTTATATAGAATCTATAATCACAATATTATGTAGTAATAATTAAAAAAAAATAAGGAAGGGAATGGCAAATGCTATCAGTGAGTAGGAGGATCCGTCATTTTATATAGGGTGATCAGTGGTAAACTCTCTGACACAAATATTGTATTAGTCCATTTTCACACTGCTATAAAGAACTGCCTGAGACTAGGTAATTTATAAAGGAAAGAGGTTTAATTGACTCACAGCTCAGCATGGCTGCAGAGGCCTCAGGAAACTTACAATCATTGGGGAAGGAAAAGGGGAAGCAAGGCACCTTCTTCACAAGGCGGCAGGAAGGAGAATGAATGCAGGAAGAACTACCAAACACTTACAAAACCGTCAGACCTCATGAGAACTCAGTCCCTATCATGAGAACAGCATGGGGGAAACCGCCCCCATGATCCAATTATCTCCACCTGGTCTCTCCCTTGACACGTGGGGATCATGGGGATTAGGGGGATGATAATTCAAGATGAGATTTGTGCAGGGCCAGTAGGCCTAATCATATCAGATATGTTTAGGCAGATGCCTGAAGGAAGCCATGCAAATATCTGGTGGGAGAATATTCCAGGTTGGGAGGTATATTTGATGACATATTGAACTAAGACTTTGAATTTTACTCCAAGAGAAATAGGAAAACACTGGGAGGGGCCGTTAGAAAGGATGGTTCAGACGTTGTATATAGAACATGACATTGGTAAGAGATAAGTGTAATGCCCAACCTTGTTTTTACTAACCCTGTTTTTAGACTCTCCCTTTTCCTTTAATCACCTAGCCTTGTTTCCACCTGAATTGACTCTCCCTTAGCTAAGACAGCCAGACAGACTCCATCTTGGCTCTGTCACTGGCAGCCCCTTCCTCAAGGACTTAATTTGTGCAAGCTGACTCCCAGCACATCCAAGAATGCAATTAACTGATAAAGATACTGTGGCAAGCTACATCTGCAATTCCCAGGAATTCGTCTGATTGATAACGCCCAAAGCCCCGAGTCTATCACCTTGTAATAGTCTTAAAGCCCCTGCACCTGGAACTGTTTACTTTCCTGTAACCATTTATCCTTTTAACTTTTTGCCTACTTTATTTCTGTAAAATTGTTTTAACTAGGCCCCCCTCCCCTTTCTAAACCAAAGTATAAAAGAAAATCTAGCCCCTTCTTCGGGGCCAAGAGAATTTTGAGCGTTAGCCGTCTCTTGGCCGCCGGCTAAATAAATGGACTCTTAATTTGTCTCAAAGTGTGGTGTTTTCTCTAACTCGCTCAGGTACAACATTAGGAAGTAGGACTCAGTTAATATGTTACTGCAGAGACCCAATTGAAAGGTAAGGTTGACTTGGTGTTTGAATACTTGTTAATGAGTGAGTGGTTAAATATTAGGTACATTTTCAAGATAAAACTGGGACAATTTGTGGATAGATTGGATGTGGATAGGGATGCCAAAGATTTTGCAAGCACAAGAAAGGTGTTGTCATATGCTTAGATGGAAAAACCTTTGTAGAAACTTGCATGAAGCATTCATTTCTAAGTATTGATCCCTGTATCATCCCATTATTTAGAGAATAGGAAGATTAGGAAAACTATCAAGAAATACAAAATAGAGATGAATCGTACAAATAAGGGAGATAATATAATGTGGAGTCCCAGAAGTCAGTGATAAAATATGTATAAATTTGAAGTAATATTATTTAACTTTCTTCCTCAGCCACCTGCAGACACTAGAAAAGTTAGAAGTGTTAGATCAATCATGGTTGCAGTTATGTAGGCATATAGTATAAAGAACGAGGCCGGGCATGGTGGCTCACACCTGTAATCCCAGCACTTTGGGAGGCCGAGGCAGGCGGATCACGAGGTTGGGAGTTCGAGACCAGCCTGGCCAATATGGTGAAACCCTATCTCTACTAAAAATACAAAAAGTAGCTGGGCATGATGACATGCACCTGTAGTCCCAGCTACTCAGGGGTTTGAGGCAGGAGAATCCCTTGAACCCGGGAGGCAGAGGTTGCGGTGAGCCGAGGTTGGGCCTCTGCACTCCAACCTGGGCGACAGAGCGAGACTCCATCTACACACACACAAAAAAAAAAAAAAAAAAAAGACGATAAGGGCAAAGGGTTTAAGGGTATATGTAAGATTCTTACGGATGACATTCTTATGGATGACAGATTCACAGTTTGGAAGAAAGGGAAAACAGAACACGGGGTTTGGAGGTGACAGACTCTTTGCTTGACCACACTAATTAGGCTCCTGATCCTTCTCCTAGGTCCATTTGTGCACTCTTCTGTAAAATCCAATGTTAGCAAGGACACTGCTAAGTCAGGTTAGCAAGAATCCCCTATCCTTGACATCTGAACCCCCTCAATATCTGATCCTCATTCTCAACTATTCCCCAAGTGATTTTTGATTACCTAGGTCTATCTTCGCTAGGATCCTGTTAGTTCAGTTTAGCTGTTATTCTCAGCCTAATTCATAGTGTGGTCTTGGGAGCGGTCCTTGTCTTTGGAATAGAGGCAACCAGAGGGAATAATTGCAGAAATATGGACTTCCTTCATTTCTTCTTTAGTTCTAAATGTAACTCAGATTCTCAAAATGAAACATCATATAATTTCCTTCTCAGATTTATCTTTATTAATTGGAATCAGTAAAGAATTAATAAAATCAAAAGGTACTGTAGTCACCAAGGGGGCAGTGATTTGTCTGACATTAGTGAATGGCTTGGCTTTTAATATAAAATATTTTTATGAAAGAAAATTTTGCTGATTTGTGTACAAGGTAACTAACTTTTCAGGCTAGTTCCAAAGTATTTATGTTTATTTAAAAAATATATTTCTGTTCAACCATTGTGGAAGACAGTGTGGCAATTCCTCAAGAATTTAGAACCAGAAATACCATTTGACCCAGCAATCCCATTACTGAGTATATACCCAAAGGATTATAAATCATTCTACTATAAAAATACATGCACACGTATGTTTATTGTTGCACTGTTCACAATAGCAAAGACTTGGAAGCAAGCCAAATGTCCATCAATGATAGACTGGATAAAGAAAATGTGGCACATATACACCATGGAATACTATGCAGCCATAAAAAGGGATGAGTTCATGTCCTTTTCAGGGACATGGATGAAGCTGGAAACCATCACTCTTAGCAAACTAACACAAGAACAGAAAACCAAAAACTGCATGTTCTCACTCATAAGTTGGAGTTGAACAATGAGAACACATGGACACAGAGAGGGGAACATCACACACCGGGGCCTGTCAGGGGGTGGGTGGCTAGGGGAGGGATAGTGTTAGGAGAATTACCTAATGTAGATGACAGGTTGATGGGTGCAGCAAACCACCATGGCATGTGTATACCTATGTAACAAATCTGCACATTCTGCACATGTACTCCAAAATTTAAAGTATAACTTTAAAAAAAGAAAAAAATATATATATACATGTATATGTTTCTGGCCAGGTGTGGTGGCTCCTGACTCTTATCACAGTACTTTGGGAGGCCAAGATGGGCAGAGAGTTCGAGACCAGCTTGGGCAACATGGCAAAGCCCTGTCTCTACAAAAATAAAAAATAAAACAGCCAGGCCTGATGTGCACCTGTGGTCCCAGCTACTCGGGAGGCTGAGGCAGGAGAATCATTTGAGCCTGGGAGGCAAAGGTTTTAGTGAGTTGAGTTTCATGCCACTGCACTCCAGCCTGTGTGACAGGGTGAGAGTCTGTCCCCAAAAAATAAAATAAGATTAAAATAAAAATATATTTCTAAGTAATTTGTTTGAATTTTATAAACCAAGGTCCAGTTATTATAGGTATTACAGAAGCAGTACTTGCTATTCAATAGCATGATGTTTTGCTATCTCTGCCCTCTCAATAACTTCTGGTTAGGGATACAAGGACATGGAATGTAGAAAATTCATAACTGCTTTGCTTTTAAAATCATTATAATGTAGCTGATAAGCCTTCAGTAGACTGGCTTATAAGCAATGAGAGCCAGGCAAATAGATTGAACTTATACTTTATAAAATACCCTAGTTCTACCCTTTTCACAATATCTGGCAAATCATTCATTTTGCCAGGTTTACAGAGAGCCATTTAGTAAAATGAAAGACATATCCTATGAACAAAGATTTAATAACTCTCTATTAAAGTCTAGAGCATTATGATACTAACTGCCACTTCCCCTCCCTCATTGTCTGTGTTCTAGTTAAATGAGCTGTTTATCTCTTCATAGATTTTTATCTCAATAAATTGCAAAGTCCTAGAAATGGAAAGTGTGACTTATCAAAAGCTTTTTCAAGGAGCAGGCATTTAGAATATGAGTGATGATTGAATTTCATAATAAATTTCTTTATTTTTTCCCTAATATTAAGTATTGTGTTTTGTTAGTTTTTTTTAGTCAGGAGGTTGTATGATGTATAAGAGTTGATAAATAACTTATCCCCTTGATTACAGGCGTACCTCAGAGATATTACAGATTTAGTTCTAGGCCATAGCAATAAATCAAATATTGCATTAAAGTGAGTCACACAAAATTTTTGGCTTCCCAGTGCATAAAAAATTATGTTTACACTATACTGTAGTTTATTAAGTGTGCAATAGCATTATGTCTACAAAGCTATGTATATACCTTACTTTAAAATGATTTGTTAAACCATGGGAGCTTCAGCGAGTCAGAATCTTTTTGCTGGTAGAATGTCTTGCTTCCATATTGATGACTGTTGACTGATCAGAGTGGTGGGTAATGAAGGTTGGAGTAGCTGTGGCAATGTCTTAACATAAGACAACAATGATGTTTGTCACATTGTTTTTCCCTTAATGAAAGATTTATCTGTAGCACTTGATTCTGTTTGATAGCATTTTACCTGTAGTCAAACTTCTTTTCAAATAGGATAATTTCCATTTTAGTGAGGATGGTTTCCTCACTAAACTTAATGATTTCTAGCTTTTAATTTAACGTGAAAGATGTATGGTCCTTCTTTTCACTTGAATATTTCAGGGCCATTGTAGAGTGATTGTTATAATTTTAATATTGTTATGTCTTAGGGAGTAGGGAAGACCAAGAAGAGGAATGGAGAAATGGGATGGCTGTTGGTGGAGCAGTCAGAACACACATAATGTCTATCAAATAAGTTTGCCATCTTATATGGTTTGTGTCCCCCCAATCAATGACAAGAGTAACATCGAAAATCTCTGATCACACATCAACATAACTGATATAATGTAGAAAAAAAGTTTGAAATATTGTGAGAATTACCAAAGTGTAATGCAGAGACACAGAAGTGAACCGTTGCTATTGGAAAAATGGTACTGATAGTCTTGCTTCATGCTGGGTTACCACAAACCCTCAATTTTTAAAGAAATGCAATTTTTGTAAAGCGCAGTAAAGGGAAACACAATAAAATGTGATATACTGATTTATGTTTATTCACATATTACTCTTTATCTGTGAATTAGTCAGGGTTCTGTAGAGGGACACAGCTAATATATCTAGAAGGACAGAACTATATATGTGTATATATATATGTGTGTGTGTATATATACACATATATAAATATATATATATGTGTATATATAATAGTAAGTATTAACTCATATGATCACAAAGTCCCACAATAGGCAGTCTGCAGGTTAAGGAGCAAGGAGAGCCAGTCCGAGTTCCAAAACTGAAGAATTTGAGTCCAATGTTTGAGGGCAGAAAGCATCCAGCATCGCAGAAAGATATAGGCTGGGAGGCTAGGCCAGTCTCTCTTTTCACATTTTTCTGCCCGTTTAAATTCTAGCCATGCTGGCAGCAGATTAGATGGTGCCCACCCAGATTAAGGGTGGGTCTACCTTTCCCAGCCACTGACTCAAATGTTAATATCCTGTGGCAACACCCTCACAGACACACCCAGGATCAATACTTTGCATCCTTCAATCCAATCAAGTTGACACTCAGTATTAATCATAACGATCTAATATCAGAATGAACTTAGCTAAATATACTCAGGTTGGCCTTTGGCACACATATATAGGAATGAAATAGAAAGAGTGTTGCTAGCAGTGAATTCTGAGAACTGGAGGGAATCTCAGAGGTACTTAAGGAAAGCAGGTATTATTAGCTAGTGGCGGAGCTGAGGGGGCTCTGCATTCCAGATGATATTTATGATATTTTCTTATGTTTTGTTTTCCTTCCCAAAAATGTGTGTCTCTGAGTTACAGCACCATGATTTGTCAAATATAAATTATGTTTCAAGTAATTATCCATAAATGTTAATTACTAATGCAACCTGTACATTTTTAAAAAAATTTTATATTTTTATAAAGGATTTCTCAAATTTTTTGTTAATTATAATGTACTTGTAATCTTGTAAAAAATTTAGCAATAGTTCGAATGATGACATTATTTTCTTTATAGTAAATATACCATGAGTTTTCAGGAGAAAGGACCATTCTAATGTATGCAATTTCCTTGAACTGTTGATGTAAGAATTCATGTGAAAATAGGGGCTTATTGCACTTAGCAGATAAAAAAGTGTATAATAGCTAAGATATTGAATAACAAGGTTTGAAATCATAGAGGTGCAGATTAGAATCATGACTGGATAGAATAAGACTGAGTGCTCAACTAGATATTTATAAAAAATATTTTAAAGGTTTTCAAGAAGACAGAAACTTATTAAACATGACATGCACAAGAATGCCATAACAAGAAACTGTGGTAAAGGGAATTTTATCTTTCAAATCCTCTTTAAGATGATAAACCAAGTCTGGAATGACCTGTGACCCACACCTAATTTTTGTATTTGTTCCTCAACCTATTAGGCCTAACTCCAAGAAACATGTTTTGGAAGAATAAAATGAAAAGAAATTTGCAATACCAGAGTTATGAATTAAGCCCTGCTAAATTATCCTCTTTAATTTTACTGTGTACCAGTGTGGTGTGTTTCAAAGTATTTTATATAATCTGCCCATCAAATAAAGTCACACTGAAATATAGTTATTTAGGTCAAAGGGGTGTTGTCAAAAGTGATTCATCACATAAGAGAAGTGAATGGGTTTTTCAAAACTTGCAATTTAAAGTAATAAAAACTCTTTGCATATTAGATATGATCAGTATGTAAACAAGATATTCTCCTATTCAAATATGCTTTTGGATGTTTCCTTAAGTAGATGTATCTATTTGGACTTGCTACATTTTCCATAATTTCTTGTCTAAATTAAAGCAATAGCCTTATAATTAGCTGAACTGATTTGATCCTTATCTGTCTTTCATAATTTTCCTAGATGATAGCCAGAAATCTTGTTTAGAAACCTAGGTGAAATCAAGCCGGGTGTGGTGGCTCACACCTGTAATCCCAGCACTTTGAGAGGCTGAGGTGGGTGGATAACTGAGGTCAGGAGTTTGAAACCAGCCTGGCCAACATACTGAAACTCAGTCTCTAATCAAAAAACAAAAATTAGCCAGGCCTGCTGGTGCACACCTGTAATCCCAGCTTCCCTGGAGGCTGAGGTGGGAGAATCTCTCGAACCCGAAAGGCGGGGGTTGCTGAAGTTGCAGTGAGCAGAGATCACGCCACTGCACTCCAGCCTGGGCAATAGAGCGAGACTCTGTCAAAAAACAGGGAGAGGAGGGCAGGGAAAGGGAGGGGGGCGAGGGGAGAAACCTACATGAAATCTTTTCATTCCTTTGCTAAAAACTTTTATGTAGCTCCCTATTTCAGTCTGAGTATAATTCTTTATAATGACTTAACCACCAACGTGATCATGCTGCCCTTAGTTGTCCACATCTTGACTTTTCCTCTGGTTTATTCATCTTCTTCCCTAACCACACTGGCCTCATCATAGCTCTCTCCAAATGTGCCGTTCAACATTATTGTCAAATATCACCAAAAAGAGGCCTGCTCTTATGGGCCTAAATAAATGGTAACCCACCCCCAGGCCCTACCAACAACTGCAAGCCCTTTCCTTGCTTTACTTTAGCTTTGGCTCCAGAAGGCTCATTGCTTTGAAATGTAACATATCCTGGGTGAGTTAGGTGCACTGTTATCTGTCTCCTTGTCACCTCTAGAATGTAAGCTCCATAAAGGAGGTGTTTTTGTTTGGTTCATTGATGTATCTTAGGAAAATGGAGTTGAACTTGACTCACTGTAGGCCTTCAATACATACAGTTTTAAGTCGAATTACATAAAAATAGAGAAAAAATGCATGGTTTTGTCTTAATATAAGTAGTGGTATTAAAGTGTTAATTGTCCTAGGAAGCAAATGAGCAAAAGTTATACGATCTATTTTTACATTTCCTTAAAAATGAGCAAGTTATATAGAATTGAAAATTCACCTGGGAGATGTTTTCTGTTGTTTGAATTCTGATGAAGCAGTGTCTTTCTTTCAGCTCACCAAATCAATCAAGCCAAGAAAACCTAAAAATCGATATCCAGACTTCTTACAAAGTACATATTAAATGATCTTTGAAATTAAGCATTAATGATCATGAACAATGGAGGAAGTTTCAAATGCTGTATATCAGAAAGACCTTTACAAGAAAAATGTCATTTGACTCATTTCAATAAGCATTATTATGTTCAACAAATCAAGGAGTGTTATAATTTAATTTTCATGATCAAGGTTTGCAATTTTCATCTAGTTTAATGTTCACTCGGCATTTTTAAATTAAATTCCTAGGTTATGAAGTTTTTCCTTTAAAATCTTCCTTGCATTTTGCAAATAAATGTTACATGTGGCAGCATTCCAATGAAATATATTGTGCATTTGCCCCATCAACAGGTTGACAGATTTGGGGCTGAAACAAAATGGGTTGTTCTCTTAGATTTTTAAACCATATTGAGTATCACACATGAAAAACTGCAAGGGGGGGAGGTGGTAGAGTTTCCCCCATCCTCCTCCTCTTGTGCTTTACATTTCATTGTAATGAGAAACTGAAATATAACTCTTAGCAAGAGCCAACTACAAAATCATTCCCTTCCCTTTTGAGTAATGATCTTCTCATAGTAAAAAATGAAATGATGAAAAGGTTAGAATATGTTTTAAATCATTCTTGAAAAGGTTATAATTGCGTCATTATTTGGGTCATTGTCAAATCAATGCTTTAGTTCTCCATATGTTAGCCATATTAGCCATCGGGAAAATATGAGAGAATATTTGTTTTAGCACTTAAGAATAACATGGTGTTGTGAATCTTTAATATAAATTACTTTCAAATTCATTTTATGCTTGAATATTTCTTTTTTTAATGTCAATCTACTATTTAAACTAATGCCTATGTAAAACAAAAATATTTTCTTTTGCATAAAATATGCCTCGCATGGCAAGTTAAACATTGTAATTAGGAATGTAAAGGGTATCAAAATCAATTGCATGCACTCAACGCAATCTACAGCACTCTATTTGAAGTATCAATCCACAAATACAAAAAAAGAAAGTTACCCCAATAATGTGATAGTGATATTTCATAATATTTTCTATTTCTGTACCAACAGGAATTCAGGAAATGCTGCTTGGATGTCAATGTTAAATGTTTCAGCCTTTAAATGAATCATTCATATTTCAAAACATATTCAATTCAAGCCAGGAAGTATTAGTACCATGGTAAATTGTCACCACTCCTTTGCAAGCATAAATAATACACCTGTGTCTCCCACCCCAGTCCAACTACATCCGATTCCATGGGTCTGCATCATTATCTCCAAAACCTTCCAGTTGCATTGCTGTCATGTTTGTGTTAAAGAGACTGATGAGGTAGGTTTACTGTCGAAACATGTTAGTAAAAAGAAAGTTAGTTTTTTGAAATGTAAAAAAAAAAATTCTAATAACTACATGAAAAAATGAAAATACCCATCACATGTCAATTAACACTTCTTTTTTTTTTTTTTTGAGATGGAGTCTCACTCTGTCGCCCAAGCTGGAGTGCAGTGGCACAATATCTGCTCACTGCAAGCTCCGCCTCCTGGTTTCCCACCATTCTCCTGCCTCAGCCTCCCAAGTAGCTGGGACTACAGGCGCCCACCACCATACCCAGCTAATTTTTGTATTTTTAGTAGAGGTGGGGTTTCACCATGTTAGCCAGGATGGTTTCGATCTCCTGACCTCGTGATCCGCCCACCTCATCCTCCCAAAGTGCTGGGATTACAGGCGTGAGCCACTGTGCCAGGCCAACACTTCCCATTTTTAACAGGACTGCCGTGGTACCAAAATGGTGATTTTTCTATTTAATCATTTTTCTGTGTGTTTGTTTTCTCAAGTAAGTATTGAGTTCTATATAATCAAAACCAAAGTATTGCCATCTCACAGTCCTACTTAATGATATTTTATAGATCTTTATTAACTTTAAGTCATTTTCAAATGATCAAAAGTGAATGATTTTTTAATCCTGGAGAGATACTTTAAAAACTGGTCAGGTCTCAGAAAATCTCTGCAGTAAAAGAAGAACATTCTATCTATAGCATACAATATGTAAAAATGATATATGCTTGAGGACATGATAATCTATTAACAATTTTCAATTATCTTTTAAGTAGATAATATTTTCCTCCAGATTTATTTATTTGGTCAATTTATAAATATGATTTTTCTATTTGGTTCTCTTTTCTCAGAAGGACATCGACTGCAAGGCAAGTCATTAGTGTGGAATAAAACAAAACAAAACTTCACCCTCCCACAGTGTTTTAGTTAAAAAAAAAAGTTCTGCTTGATACCTTGCTTTATCTGAGTAGTGTTCTATTCGGCCTAAATATCCTATAACTAATTTCTACATATATATATATGTATATATATATATACACACACACTATATATATATATAAACTATATATATACACTATATACACACACACTGTATATATATAAACTATATATATATAAACTATATATATATATATATATAGCGAGACTCTTGCCTCAAATATATATATATTTGAGGCAAGAGTCTCGCTCTGTCACCCAGGCTGAAGTGCAGTGGCATGATCTCGTCTCACTGCAACCTCCGCCTTCTGGATTCAAACTAGTCTTGTGCCTCAGTCTCCCCAGTAGCTGGGATCACAGGTACACAACATTATGCCTGGCAATTTTTTTTTTTTGGTAATTTTAATAAAAACAAGGTTTCACCATGTTGCCCAGGTTGGTCTCAAACTTCCGGTCTCAAGTGATCCACTGGCCTCGGCCCCCGTAAGTGTTGGGATTATAGGCATAAGCCACAGCCTCTGGCCTGTACTAAAAATATTCTAATGAAATATGTTTTCTAACATATGGTATGTGAAAGATCAGATTTTTATTGTTTTACATTTTTACTGTTGATTTCAGTAATTTTAAACTGAGTAAAGAAAGATAACTGTAGTTTTTAGAAAAATAAATATATAAAAACAAGTACCTGAAAGTGGAAGATTGTGGAAAAACAAAGCAGACACTGGAAGGAGTGTTACACTTGGAAACAGGGATGAAGATACGATGAAGAGTGATTTACTCATGTCATTGTTTTTATCATGAGATAGCCCAAATTTATATCTGACAGGAAGGCTAACATTTCAATAGAAAAACTCACAGTCTCATCGTTTTGAAAACACCAGAAGCCAGAATTTACGGCAATCACAGCCACTGGAATCTAAAGGGAAAAATTCCAGAAAGGAGAGAGCCAGGGAAGTGGATCTATGAATTCCGTGTATGAATTCTGCCCAAATATATAGCTCACTCCTGAACCAGAAAAGCATGGGGCCAACTTCCCACAGGCCTTCTCATAGGTCCGCCAAAGCTAAAAAAAAAGGATGAAAATTTGATCTGCCACCTACTTCAGAAAATAAGAGTTTTATTATTTGATTAACTGTCAAATCAATTGCCTGCTAAAATGAAATAGAAAAATATTAGCATTCTTAAGAGAAATAGAAGATAACCCATATTCTCCCTATCATAACATTCAAAATGTCCAGAATCCAATTCAAAATTATGAAATGTATCAAGAAATAGGAAAGCATGATCCATTTGCAAGAGAAAAAAATAATCAATACAGACAAAATTCTAGATGACATATATTGGCATTAGAACATAAAGACCTCAAAATATTATTTTAGCTACTCACCAGGCAAAATTCTTCCTCTTCTATCAAAATCAAGTTTTCAGGCTGAGCAGAAGATTCAGAGAAAAGAATTTCCACCCAAGCATATTTTGTGTTGAAAGGGAAAAAAAACTGTATAACTTCATTGGGCAAATCATCCAGTTTTCTTACAATAAGACTTAATGTCTTGTTGATAGCCACCTACTCTCTGAATACCAAGCAGCAATAGGAACATTTCAAAATTTCGTTTTGCAACCTGATTTTCACATAGATTCAATTTCGCTTAAAATCCAAAAATCTCATTATATTATAAAAATGTTTCTCCAGAGTCTTACAGATGCTTGTTCCACTGTATCATATGATGGTAAATGTCTGTTATGTGGGCTAAATTCTGCAGCCATTTTTTTTTTAATCATCAAAGCACTCAGCAAAATGTGGCTTATTTTTTCTTGTATGTATTCACGCATTTCAACTTTCAGCTGAACACCCTGTGAAAAACAGATCCTTTGGTAACCTATTGGATTTCTACATGTACAGGAGGTTTCTCTCAAACATTCAGGCATTTTTTTTTCCTCAAAAATTCTCAGGTGTACTTGTTTTTCTTTAATAATATACATATGACTTTTTGTAGCATTATCTATATTTTTTTCATTTAATCTCCAATGTCTTTGGCACAAGTGCCTCTCGACAAAGCATTCAGTTTGTTGGGAAGATGCAGGATTTGCTTGATTCTACAAGAAGCATAATCCTCCTTAGACCCAGTGGTTGGTAATGCACTGTCAGTACAGAAGCCAACACAGTACCTCCAAGAATGAATTTTGTTTTCAGCTATGAATAAAAATCTAAGTATAATTTTGTCTTGTGCTTGTTGTGCCCAGCTCTTTGTAACAAGAAAGCATATTTTTTAACATTCATCATTATTTAAAAATTATTTGAGTGCTTAGCTTGACATGTTTTATGGAATTTGGTGTTTGCTTTGAATGGTTGTGTACCTTCAAAATACATGTTGAAACTTAGTCCTTAATGCAACAGAATTTAGAGGTGAGGATTTTAATAGGTAATTGGATCATGAGGATTCTGCTCTTATGAATGGAATTAGCACCCCGATAAAAAGACCTGAGGCAGTCTTTGCACCTTTATCCATTTTGCTTTTCTACCACATAAGAATACAGCTTTATGCCCTTCATCCACATGTGGATGTAGCTACAAGACACCATCAATGAGGAATGGTGCCCTCGCCAGACACTAAACCTGCCAGCATCTTGATCTTGAACTTCCCAGGTTCCAGAATTAGGAGAAATAAATTTCTATTATGTATAAATTACTCTATCTAAGGTATTTTGTAATGGATGTAATAAATGGAGTAAGACGTTTGGGTTTGTTCTTTGCTTTTTTCCTGTGTATTATAAAACATCTTCATAGGATGTAACTTATCATCAATACTTCAATATGTAGTACTATTTGAGAGTAAAACTCTTCATTTTCTCACACTGCATCTTTTGCTAGCATTTTAGTTGCTACACATGCAAAATTATTAGATTCTCACAAATTATGAATTTTATATTTCAGATGATAATTTTTATTGTTACTAAATGACTTTTTTCCTTATCATTTGCACTGAATAGAAGTTTGTAAACAAAGGTTTTATTTTGTTCACTTTGAGAGTCCAATATCTCCATCATTTCTCAACTGGTTATGAAACATAGTTTAGAGAATTTTAATTTTTCTGCAGCCATTGCCATATTTACATGTTATTTCTTAATGGACTTCAATAACATGTATTACCAGCACATATAAAAGTCATTGATAAATAGCTTTCATTGTAAAGACTAACTTTTTTGCAGTCTCTTGTTCATGGGGTTAGTTAATAACTTAGAGGTGCTCTTCATCATGAAGAACCTCAGAATTTTCTATAGACCTAGGCAAATAATTGTTTCCTCTAATACCTGCATTTAAAAATGGCCAAGTTATATTTTCAGACATGTTTGCAAGATGAAAATACTTACAAAATGTAAAATTAAGGGCCAAATAAATAGCAAAATGGAAAAAATTAAAATATTATAAAAACTTTCCAATGCAATGCACCCTTGATCTATACAAGTCATTGAATTGAAATGTTTCAAACAACAGAAAACCAGTGGGAAATGGCTGGTATTGGGAAGAGAGAAGACAAGTCTCAGTGTGTAAAAATTCCTTCCTTCTAAATAAAATTATCTTCCAATTTTCTGTTACATTAATAAAACTCTTTGGCCCTTGTAAGTTAGTGAGTGGTAGATGTGGAGAGATTAGAAGAGAGAATCCCTGAGGCAGAGGCTGCCCCCTTCTGCTATAGACAACACAACTTTCAGAAACTGAGACTATATTCAACCAAAGCAACACAGTCTTACAATAAATTGTCCTATGGGGATATAATATCTTTAATGAAATTGCTAATATGGTTGCTTGGTATCTCTCCATCATTATTCCTATTTTTAACTTAGTACAGCCATGCCATCTGTCTTTACTGTTCAAGTTCCTGTTCTCTTCTCACATCTTCAGAGTCTTACTTGTTCCAAATGTCCTCTCAAAACATGTTCAATGAACACAGCTCCTTTCCTGAGAAGAATTCTGAGGTCAGTTTTTGAAGTAATGTAAGTTTCCCCTCCCTCCCTTACACAGGTTTCATGGACTTCTCTGTAATAAGGAGTTCGATCAGGGAATAGAAGGCCTAATACTGGTATGAGGAGCAAATTTGCTGTTGAGAAAGCCAGATTTCAAATCTCCTTGAATTTAAGTTATGTGCCAAATATTAATGGTTATTCCTCATTTCATGGAACCAACTCAGGCTTTTCTTCTCTAAAATATAAAACTGAAGAAGTACAGGTTGAAAGGAAGCATGTGTTCATATATGAGTAGAGTTACTATTTAGAATTATCTGAATCAGAATATTAAAAGGCATGCTAATATGTAGTACAAATAACAGGTAGCTAATGTAGCTAATGTATCTGTTTACTACACATAAAAATTACATGGCTGGGAGCGGTGGCTCACACCTGTAATCCCAGCACTTTGGGAGGCCAAAGCGGGCAGATCACCGGAGGTTAGGAGTTGAAGACCAGCCTGGCCAACACGGTGAAACCACTCTCTACTAAAAATATAAAAATTAGCCAGGCAGGGTAGTGTGCACCTGTAGTCCCAGCTACTCAGGAGGCTGAGGCAGTAGAATCCCTTGAACCCAGGAGGAGGAGGTTTCAGTGAGCTAAGATCGCACCACTGCACTCCAGCCTGGGTGACAGAGCTAGACTCCATCTCAAAAAAATTTTACATGTTTTCTATATTTTAATATATGTACAATGTGCATATATGAGCATATTTATATGTACAGAGCTAGAGAGACAGAACAGAGGGTGAAGAGATGTACTAATTTTCTATTGCTGTGACAAATCACTGCAAATTTAATGGCTTAAAACAACTAAATTTATTGTCTTATAAGTTTATTATCTTATAGTTCTTCAGGTCAGAAATCTGAAATCTCACTGAGCTAAAATCAGCAGGGCTGCATTCCCTTTGGAGACTCTAGGGATGAATCCATTTCCTTGCCTTTTCCAGCTTCTAGAAGCTGTCCATCTTCCTTAGTCTATGGCCCTATCCTCCATCTTCAAAGCCAGCAATGGAGGGTTAAGTCCTGACATCATATTACTCTGAAACTGTTTTGTCATCTTACCTCTTTTTCTGACTTTCCTCTTCTGCTTAGCCATCCCATTTTTAAGGACCTTTATAATTACAGTTGACCCTTGAACCACAGGTTTGAACTATGTGGATCTACTTATATATGAATTTTCTTCCACCTCTGTCACCCCTGAGACAGCAAGACCAACCCCTCCTCTTCCTCGTTTGCCTCAGCCTACTCAGCTAAAGGTGACAGGAGAAAGAACTGTATGATGGTCCACTTAATAAATAGTAAATATATTTCCTCTTTCTTTATGATTTTCTTGATATCGTTTTCTTCTCCAGCTTACTTTATTGTGAGAATACAGCATAGAATATGTGTAATATACAAACTACGTGTTAATCAACTATTTACGTTATTGGTAAGACTTCTGGTGAACAGTAGGCTATTAGTAGCTAAGTCTTTGGGAAGTCAAATGTTACAGTGAATTTTTGGCTGCATGGGAATCAACTGAAAATATATGTACAGTTGACTCTTGCACAGTGAGAAGATTAGAGACAGGAAATCCATGATATCTCTCTACCTTAAGAACAACTGATAAGCAAACTCATTCTATCTGCAAATTTAATTTCTCCTTGCCATGTAACCCAGCATATTTACACATTTTGGGGATTAGGACATGGGTATCCTTGGGGGAATCAGCATTCAGCCTAACACAGTATATACTCTACATTTGGGGAAGTGGGTTTTCTATAAATGCTTTCTTGTTAAAGTTCCAAGAACATAGGGAGATTGCTGTTGTATAATCTTCTACAGAATGTACAAGTTTTTCTTAATTCAGGTAAATATTGTCCTAAATATTAAGAACTATAGAGAATGTCAATTTATTGAAAGGGCAATTATGAGATGACATATTTGTAAAGCTCATACCAAGTTTACTGGACTACTGTATATTTATGAAGGCATTGTTAAACTGTAAAAAATTAAATCTCTTCTACACCCCTTCATCTAAATTTTCAAGTCATATGCATATACATATTTCCAAATACTACACACCTATATGTATGTGCATGAATAAAAACATATATACACATACGCTTCTATACATATACAGAAAATATTTTTTATTTTATATATACACGTATGTATATAGCACATGTGTACATTTGTGTGTGTATATATATATACACACCTATATACACACACATATATATATATAAAGAGAGAGAGAGTCTATTCTCCTTATTCTCATGTTTCTGTATTTGAGGCTTTGTATTTGACAGTAGGCTAAATAGCCTCTTCACTACAATTTATGTACAAAGTCCAAACCAATGCTCACATCACTTTTATGGTCTTTTGTGGACATGCTTAGAGCAGTGAAAACTTTGAATTGTCTGATGTGCATCTTTCCAGGTGAGGCTGAGCAAGGTGACAATTTACTTTCTTGTTTTAACTTTTGCACTGCAAAGAAGTGTCGCTTTTGAGGCCTGTTGAGTGTCACATTTTTCACATTTATATGCTCTTTGATGTTGATTTCACTGTTTAAAATGGTCCCGAAGTGCAGCGCTGATGTGCCGTCTAGTGTTCCTAAGCTCAAGTGTTGTATTTTTTTTTCTAATAATTTGGTCTTGAGGTCTTTCAGGACAGTGGCAACAAACTCTCACCCTGTCCTTATGCGGCTCCAGGGAATGTGGGCATGGTTTACAGTGTGCCTTTCATAGGATTCTTAATTATTATGGCAAATGCCTGATACCCAAATGTCAACCCATGACAAGATGTTCCTCTCACAGAAAAGTTGATACTGGGAGATGCCCTTGTGGCTATTCTCTGATCTGTGTCCAGTTTATTCTTACCAAGATAGTCACTCTCTAAGACAGCCCTGAGCAGGAAAGAAGTTAGGTTTGTGTGTGTCAGATGGGTGAGACCTAGAGAAGGCAACTCAATAAATCACATGAAATAACAGAAGCTGTTGATTACTTACAGATCCCAGAGAGCAAAGGGCAGCAGGCCTTGCAGTTTCAACAGGAAGGGGGAAGCCATTCAGGAAACACAAGCTCTGCCAGCATGTGGGGAGCAAAAGAGAAAGTGAGGGCCCTGTAGGTCAAAGCCTCTATTGGAGTCCGGTGTGTTGCCCGAGCATGTTTTTCTCAGAGTTCTAATTGATGGCCTGAGTTCCATGGAATCATTCTGTGACTGAGAGGTGGGCACTGCTGCATGTCTGCTTAGTCCGTGTGGGGTGTGGAGGTCAGTGGGGGTTGTCAAGTAGGTTGTATCCAGCTATCCCATAGAAAAGTGGTCACCTGGATGCAGATGTTTAAGGCAGATATCTAGATCAACCACATGGAAGGACCGGAAGGGAATGGTGAACTGGAAACCGAGTCAAGGGTGACTAAGTCCCAATTCTGCTGTGAGAAAGTAAAACCTAAATTCAGAATGGATACTAAGGCAACATAAAATCATAAGAATGCATCATACCCGGAAGGCTGTGATGCATCTTACAGAAAAAATACGTGTGTTAAATAAGCTTGCTCAGACATGAGTTACAGCACTGTTGATAATAAGTTCAAAGTTTAAGCATACACCATATGTATCAAATAAGGTGTCATTAAATATTGGGGTGATCAGACCCGACACCAGGTCATGGGAGTGACAAAGTCCGACAGAGTCAAAGGATTGAGAAAAAGACAGTTTGAGAGAGAAAGCTGGGACCAGAGGGCCATCACTAGTGTATGGAGGCTGCGAAGGCCCTGAGCTCTGGGAGCCCATGCTCTTTATTGGTAATCCAACAGAGAAACAGGTGGTGAGAATGTGGAGGTCAAAAGGACGCGTTGTATTAAGCATATGATTTTCAGCTGTGATGGTTTAGCATTTGCTCTGCTACTTGAGATAATAGAGAGCAGGTTCTTTTAACTCAAGATACAATTGATCCTGGGAGAGCAAGGAGCAAGCAAATCTAGACACATTCCAGAGCCATGAGCCCTGGATTCTACTCAAGCCACAAGGGATTTTATGCCCTGGGCTGAGATTATGGTACATCAGGGTAGCCTTCCATCCTTTAGCACAAAGCTTGGTGTTCCAAAAGCCACAAGGGGTTTCAGACCCTGGACCCCGGACATGTTCCAAGACTCTTTTACATTATGTCAGACATGCAAGCCCTGCCTCAGCTTCTCCCAACACTTAGCTTTTTCCCAAAAATTAAACAGAAATGCACATAAAACAAAGTTATGGATTATCAGGTTAAAAAATGTTATGATCAGAGGCTCACAGAAACCTCACCCTGTATTTCCCTTAGGAGCAATAGCTTAGTGTTGGTTACGTAGTGTTTACAGTGACTTTGAGGCCATAACAATTGGTGAGAATCAACTCTCTGAATTTCCCCATTTTTTAAAATCCCTCTCTCTGTCTCTCTCTCTCTGTCTTTATATATATATATATATATATATATATATATATATATATGCTCTTTGATGTTGATTTTGCTGTTTAAAATGGTCTAGTTGTCCTGCAGTAATAGCATTATGAATGGCTTAGAGTTTAGTAACATGAACAGTACCCTCAATTTTCTAAAACAAACAAAAAATATAGCTAATTAGTAAGCATAAGTAATGATAAAAGGCCAGAAATTAAGGATGATATTAGCTAGGCTCTGTAAAAACTTTACTTCACTTTTTGCATCATTCAGAAAGAGGTTTGTGGGTTGGGCGCAGTGGCTCAAGCCTGTAATCCCAGCACTTTGGGAGGCTGAGGTGGGGAGATCACCTGAAGTCGGGAGTTAAAGACCAGCCTGACCAATATGGAGAAACCCCGTCTCTACTAAAAATACAAAATTAGCTGGGCATGGTGGTGCATGCCTGTAGTCCCAGCTACTCAGGAGGCTGAGGCAGGAGAATCATTTGAATTGGGAGGCGGAGGTTGTGGTGAGCCGAGATTGCGCCATTGCACTCCAGCCTGGGCAACAAGAGCAAAACTCTGTCTCAAAAAAAAAAAAAAAAAAAAGAAGAAGAAAAGAAACAAAAAGGTTTGTGGTGTGTAGAGAAGTGGACTAAAACTTTACAATGGACTAAAACAGTGCATGGTAATGTTTTACACCCAATGTAATAGAATAAACCTTGTGCAATACATAAATGCTGAGAGCTAGGAGAGTATTCTCTGTTTTTTTCTGGTTTTAATAAGCAGGTTTAAATTTCTTTTAAACAAATTATACATACCCATTGTTAAGAGTAAAAGAAGAAAACTCCATCTTCAACACCTCATTGACCCTCTTTAAGTTAAATAATGACTTATTTCATGGCAGGCACAATACACATATGGCAAGAGAAAGTAATAGATAAAATAAATGCTAAAATAGAATTACTCTTTCCACTAATCTGTTTAATTTAATATTGTAAAGCTGCTGCCAAATATGTTTAAAATTCTTTTTTTTTTCTTTTTGTTTTGAGATGAATTCTAACTCTGTTGCCCAGGCTGGACTGCAGTGGCGTGATCTCAGCTCACTGCAACCTCCACATCCAGGGGTCAAGCAATTCTCTTGCCTCAGCCTCTTGGGTAGCTGGAACTAAAAGCTGCACAACCACGCCTGGCTAATTTTTGTATTTTCAGTAGAGACGGGGTTTCACCATGTTGGCCAGGCTGGTCTCAAACTCCTGTCCTCAAGTGATCCACCCACCTCGGCCTCCCAAAGTGCTGGGATTACATGCCTGAGCCACCGCGCCTGGCCTATGTTTAAAATTCTTACTTATATTTGAATTGTTTTCCCTTAGTTTTAAAAACCTCGTACATATTTTCAGTACAAGTTGCCTTATATTAAAAGGAGTTTCCTCCTGTGATTGTCACCGCTCAAGAAAAAAAAACAAACATTAGACTAAACAATGTTGATTTTTCATTTTTAGGGATTTCACAACAAGTAAAAATAGATTAAAAAAAACTTTGAACTTAAGTTTTGTTTTGCTTTTTACTGCCTTGGGCTAATGTGGTTTCAAATTCCATTTTAGAGTGAGTTTGATGATTTTATTTGAGAAAAAAGAGCTTCAGGAACCAATTAAAAACCTAGTTTGGGGACCACATTCCAGCTCTGGGAAATAAAGCAATTTAAAGTTAATTCAAGCTACTCTTTCTTCAAAAGCAGAGACCCATCTCCTAGGGAATGTGTTAATCCTTTCATTTTGGTTAGGTTTACTTTTTCCAAATACTGAGGATTCGCCAAAATTTTAAAGACTTACATGTTTAATCATTTTTATAAGTAAAAATTATTTGTTAGAGGGAATATTATTTCCCATGTTGAGTCCTCAGAAACATGTCTATTTAATCATTTAATTCTAACTTACAGATTTATGTTTTTATATGTTCAGAGTATATTAGAATATCAATATCAGAGACCTCCTCTCATCAAAGGTGACTCATGAATAACATCTTAAATAATGGACTAAATATTGTATGATGGGAAAAGAGAATGAGAAAGCGTGGGATACGCAGTCTTTTACTTAGTTATGGCACTACATGAGTTCTTAGAAGTGACAAAAAAGATACATATGAATAAAATTAAGCTTTCTTAAAGGATGTAATGCTGTATAATAATTTTATTGCAAGAGCAACTGATAGTACAATTTCCCTAAACAAGTAGTGATTAATTAAAATAATGGTTAAATATCAATATTGTTTCTCAAAAAATAAATTACATTTGGAGGGCTTGGGACAAGTACAAAGTGAACAGTTTAAAGTGATTTACTTCTTGAGTGGAATAATGACAGGCTCCATAGAGCCGTAGTACATTTGTTGTCTAATTCAGTTTACTTCATCCAATTTTACTGAACTCCAGATTGTCTGTTGGCTGCTAAACAACTCATACATTGGTGATGACATACTTGAAAACCGTATGTCAATGTAATATGGCGATTGCTGTGATAAAGACATGCAAAAGGAACTAGCAAAGTACAAATGTGGTAACATAAATTAATTTAGAATTCCGACATAGCTTCCAGAAAGAGAGAACTCCTATTGTGTCTTGAAAGATAAACAAATTTATGTAAACACGAATGCATTTACACAAATAATTTGAAAAAGAAACCATAGAATGGAGAAACAGGACCTAGGAAACATGGTCTGAAGGAAATTTTAAGAGTAAAATTTGTAGAAAAACTGGTACTAAAATAGGGATCTGGTCAGAATTTCTCCCCATGAACTTTAGTTGGATCATTAAGATAATAGGGTCACGGCAATGTGATTTTTAAAATATGTAAATGATTTTGATATTTATCGTGTTAAGCTGAATATCCAAGTGCAGTTATGACATAAGGAGGAGCTAAAAAGTTGACTTTTGGAAATATGAAATTAACAGTGATGATGGAGACAATGAGATCTAATTAAATCTTCAAGAAAAGGGAATGAAAAAGATAATTGAGATCAAGAGACTGCAGGAAACCGTCCTTATCTACTATCTCGTACATGCAGGTAAGGTTTAGAACTGGCAGAATGTATCAAAAGACGGTGAAAATCACAGTGAGTATGCATTTAATTGTCAGTTTCCAAAAAGTTCATATGAACGTTTCAATTAAATGAAATAACTCATTTCATTTTCTAGACGTCTGCACTACATTAAGTTTCCATCCATTTCATTATATAATTTCCATAAGAGAAATAATCTGAATATATGTAATAAAATACATGACTCAGATACATTTGAAAAGCAAGAATATTATCTTCTAATTATACATAAATGTATTTTGTCTGTTTAAATTTTAGAAAAGTGATTAGAAATCACAAAGATTAAAGCAATAAAGAAATGAGGAAGAAGAAATGAGAGGAATCAAATCTCAATTTTTGCTCAGACCAGTTCCTGAAGACAATTAGGTCTGGCAAACTGTTCCCCTATAGCTTTAGAGTCAATAGTCGTAACCTTGATTCTCTTAAATCTTTACTATGTACACAATGTTTCAAAAAAGATATTGAATATGCAACTAGTCATATTAGTCAATAAACTGGTCAGAATCACTGTATATTTTAAATCATTCTTTGATAATTTGGACACAGTCTACATTTTATAATCAACATCTATCCAAACAGCAAATCAACATTTTTCACAAATATGGTGAAATTATTTTAAAATTTATTTAGTAATCATGTATTTATTTTATGGTATGAATGTTGACGTTGTTACCAGCATTATCTCAGATCAGTATACACTTCATTTAGTTTTCTATATTTCTTTGCCTTTTAGTTTAATCACCTCATTTATTGTGTTTCAGTTTTTGGATAAGATCAGACGCCTGCAGGTCTTTGTTTATTGGAATTATTTTTTTGGGACAGGGACAGAAATAATGGCAATATAGATTATATTAGTTTACAAAAAAAAAATTCAGAAAGAATTCTACAATTCTTGTGGCTGTGCGTCTTCCTTCTACCACAGAAATAGCTCATCATATCAGTATAAAGCCTGCCAATATTCTTACATGTACCATGCTAAATTATACAACACCCGCTAAAACCAACAATTAATTTAACCACAATTATAATCACTGTTATATTTTGAACAATGAATACACAACTTTAAAATAACATAATCAAATGCTCACATATTTTAAATCCACTAATTTTACCAGAATTGCTATATAGATATCTGTATGTGTATATATTTATATGACAACACAGAAAAAAAAAATTAAAAAGTACACATAAAAGTACTTCTCTGAATCTGATTGTCCTTTTCCCAGTACAATATCACTCACTGAGACAGTTATTTTCAGCTGTTTTGTATTTAAACATTAAAATAAGTGATACTTTCTTTGAGAGTATTTCTATGTTCTCTCACAATGACATGATTTCATTAGGACTTTGTTGTTCAAAGGCAAATAAATTAATTCATAGTCATTTGACATTCTTAGGCATCTATATGACTTTATTTACACAACATAAAAAACAAGAGATGGTTTGGATGATGATGGAGTTATTAGTAATGGATGCATTAATTATTATTATATGTTCAATTGTTTAATTTTTGCTTTTTAATGATATTAGGAGAGAAAAATAGCTGAAGAGGAGGAGGATAGGGAAAATCATGAGTGGAATAATACGCATCATGATAACACACAATAATTAGGAATGTAAACTCACAACAAAACTACTGTACCATGAGCCTGAATATAGCAAAACTTGGGACCCTAGCAAAAAAAAAAAAAAGTAGAAAATATGATGTCTCAAAATTTACAATGCTCTATTTAAAACATTCTGGCTATTCAGGCTGATTAAGTTTCAGTGAACTTATTTAGTTTTGAAAAAAACATAAAAATACCTCAATACTTAGTGTATGAGTAACATGACTTAAAATATTAAGTTTGCAGCCCCATAGTTAAGTCAATCCTCGTGTTCCTCACATTTTCTGTTTTCACAACAGTGGCCTCCTAGGTTAATGCCTCAAGATGGTTACATTGTCTCACTTGCGCTGGATCTACTCATTTTCAGTTACTTTGTTACCTTGTAAAAAAAGTTTTCATTTGTATCAAATTATGTTATGAATTGAATATAATAGTATCTCAGTTTTAATTTGCCACTTTGCTTTACAGATTTAAATAAAGAGGAATAAGAACCTTCTATCTCAATGCCCATTACTCTTGCAGTTATTTTTGAGAAAATATACGTATTTTGAGGTTGTTTTAAGTACTAGTCAATCTGGAAAAAAAAATGAAAATGAAAACACTGTCAGAGAAAACTGAAAATACATACTTTAAAAATCCATATATATTTCTTAAATATAACAGTCATGCATATTTCATAGAATAATATTGTGACTTAAAGTTTTTATGTTACCTTATGACTAAATATTTTAACACTAGCTGCATTTTGTTCAGTCTCATATAAACCCTATAACACATGATGAATAAAATATGAATCTTCTCATCAGTTAAAATTTTTCAATGTTCAAGCACTTTTAATTCAAGCTTGCTATAAAGAAATGCAGCAGAGGCAACAATTGTAATAACCAAAGTTAACACCAAAATATACACTGGTGTTTAGCACTGGTCTGACAAAGAATCCAAAGGGGAAAAAAAATGCTTCGATTTACTAAGAGGTCTATCGCATTGCAAGGGATTAATTATAGGTAGATTTTATTGTTATTAGATTTTATTATTTACTTCATCTACTATGCTAGCTAAATTCTATGATGTCCGAATTTGACTATAACATTTTTCATAAGACTTTAATGTAGATAAAGCTATTTTTTTAAATTCAGATGATTCAGTAAAAGGCTTTAGTAAATTACATATAGTTAAAACTTATGGCCAGGCGCGGTGGCTCACGCCTGTAATCCCAGCACTTTGGGAGGCCGAGGCGGGCGGATCACGAGGTCAGGAAATCGAGACCACCCTGGCTAACACGGTGAAACCCCGTCTCTACCAAAAATACAAAAAATTAGCCGGATGTGGTGGCGGGCGCCTGTAGTCCCAGCTACTCGGAAGGCTGAGGCAGGAGAATGGCGTGACCCTGGGAGGCGGAGCTTGCAGTAAGTCGAGATCGCGCCACTGCACGCCAGCCTGGGCGACAGAGCGAGACTCCCTCTCAAAACAAACAAACAAACAAACAACCGTATATTTTCTTTGCATATACCACTATCCTGTTGACTCTTTTCCTCACAATAACCCATTGAGATACATGTTTTTGCTAGACCATTTTATAGATAGGAAAACTGAGATTTAGTACTTTCCCAATGTCATACAGGACATACAAGACTGGGATGAAATTTCAACCCAAGTACGCTGAACTCTAAAACTGTTTATTTTAGCTAGTGCACACATGACCAATTGGATACCCAGATATGTTTTTAAACTTCACCATTGATACTGAGTCCCCAAAAAGGAGACATGTAATTAATAATCAACTAATGAATTTCAGCAAATGTAATTTCTTTGAGGCTGTTCCATAATCTGACTCTGAAACATTTAGGTACTAATATTTGATTATTTAAAACAATTTTCTTCATTTTTTAATGTATTAATTGGAGCTGCAGATTTTGTAGTATTTAAAAACCTGTGGCATCATTTTACATACAACGTAGACAGTTTCAAATGTTATTAATAGTATTATTTACATACATGTACTTGTTACACGGGTAGAAGCAGAAGATACATGAAGTCGAGGTGGATGGTGACAGGGACCATGTCTGGGGTTGAAGCAAAAAAATATATCAGAAGAAGAAAAAAAAGATCCTGCCTTTCTACTTATGGGATGTGTTAGTGATATCAGAAAACAAACACATACAATGACTGACTTTCACAATGATGAGAGAGAGAAATACTCTCATTTTTTCAATACCTAATACTTTAGAGACCCACAGCTATCTTGGTTTTTACATCCTCACCAAAACTGGGTAGAACTTATCCCATTTTACAGATGGGAAAACTAAGCCTTCAAGAGTTTTATTATGTTACGAAAGTCACACTGTTACAATAAACATGGAATGTGACTCTGAGGTGATATTAAATACTCTTGTTTATCAATTAAATTGACTTCTGATGAGAAGTATATAGATGTAACAGATACAAGCTAAGGGTAGATCTGAGGTTGGATTGTCTCCATTTATCAATAATTCTTCACTTTCAACTCTAAATAATACATTGTTACAATTTAACTAAATACTTAAAAGTCTAAAAATTACAATAGATTCTATAAAATGGCCCATTCACTTTGATAAGCTCTTAAACTATAATCTATCACCACTATGGAATAACTGAATAGCTTTTGTAGAGGGATGTAAAGTACTTTTCATCAAATATGAAACTGTTTTATTTAATGGCAGAATTTAAGGTTTGAATTGCAGAAAGGATAATAACAAGCAAGACTGGGATAGCCCACTGGGTAAAATATTTAAAAATGCCTGTGAATTTTAGCCGTAGAGAAGAAATTTATAAATACCTTAATAAATATTCTGTATTTCTTAAGTCTAAGCTAGACTCATACACAATGTGTCAAGTTTTTAAAAGATTCAAGTTTACTATTTAGCTGTTTTGGGCAATATTTTATTTATTTGGCCTGAGAAGGAGATAAGTTTCAGTGATATATGTAGTCAGAATAATTTGTATATTTAATGAGCTATTAAATCAATATCTCACAAATAATATATTCTTAATACTAAAGTCGTTAGCCTTGTTTGTACACATATATTTAATGTTAACAAGTGAATCATATTCCATATTTCATAATAGAAGCTTCTGTGAAAAAACTCATAATTATTTTTGAAAACTTACAACATTATATATAAAAATACATTCTCAAGACATATTTGTTTTCAAGATATTTTATAATAAATACAAGCCTATCAAAATTAGACCAAAATATAAGTACTGTAGTTTCTATTCAATTTCTAAAACACTGAGTAAAATGATACCTTGTAAAAACAAGAAAATTAGATAGAATGTAGGTAGTCCTGTGTCTGGAAGTGAGTGTAGATGTAAACACAGAACCATAAAATATTGTAAATAAATATATAAGTTCATCTTAAAACATCACTAAATTATTTTTATACCAATGATATATGTCAAAAATATATTTTATGCTCAAAATATATGAAGGAATATTGTTAAGACAAATGAATGACTCAATGAATAATTTTTCTATTATACCTACTGGATTAATAAGAGTAAAAGTGGGCTTATTTGAATATAAAGCAATATAATCAACATAATAATTAATACAAAAAAATTAGTGCAAGATTTGTCACTTTAAGAGTCTCAGAAAATATCTCCAAAAATTATTAAAATTACTCAATAATGAACTTAATTATTATATTATTAGCTGAAGTTCAAATGTCAAACTTACCTAAAATATTCAATTTGTAACCGTCAAACTGTCACAGGGATTACATTAAACATTTTAAAAGTATAACAATCTATTTTAAACTGTTAGCAGCTTAATTTCTAACTCACAAAAAAATTTATGTATTTATTTTTTTGAGACAGGGTCTCACTTTGTCACCTGAGCTTCAGTGCAGTGGTACAATCATGGCTGTCTCCTAGGCTCAAGTGATCATCCCACTGCAGCCTTCCGAGTAGCTGGGACTAGAGGCGTGTACCATGCCCAGCTAGACAAATGACTACTTTATAGCTCTGCCCTCTCCTGCTTGATGTTATTAATGTCCCAAACTGCACCTTTATATATTGTGTATCAATTAATATGGATTTAAAGTTATTTTTATGCTTTTGTAGTTAAATTTTTTAAAATAACTGAAAATTGAGTTATAAACAAAAATTACAATAATACAAGTTTCATATTTGTCCATGTATTTACCTTTATTGGAGAATTTTATATAAGTTTTCTTATACTTCTGTATTGCTGTCTAGCATATTTTCATTTCAAATGAAAGGGTCCACTTAATTTTTTTATTTTTATTTTTTAGTAGGGCAAGTCTTTTAGTAATGAATACCCTCAGCTTTTGTTTATCTGAGAATTTCTTAATTTCCCCCTCATTTTTGTAGGAGAGTTTTGTTAGATGTGGTAGGCTTGGCTGGCATTTTTATTCTGTTTCAATACTTTAAATATATAATCTCACTGCCCTCTGTGTGTGTGTGTGTGTGTGTGTGTGTGTATGTGTTTATTCAGTTTAAATATGTGTTTTTTAACTAGGAAATTTGGTCTATTTGCATTTAACATAAGTATTAACATGTGGCTTTAAAATGTGTTATGTTCTTTTAGTTTTTCTATCTGCTTGATCACCTTTTTTATGTCTTTTCTTACTGTATTTTAGAATGGCTGAATATTTTAATTATTTCACCTGCCACTCCATTATCTTAAGAGCTTCATATTTTTTACTACTCCATTAGCAGTTTTAGAGATTAAAACATGTATACTTGACTCTTCTAAGTCTATTATAGTTTAGCACCTTTATCTTCTTGGCAACTGTGAAAGACATTTTGAAACAATTCACTTCCTCCTGATTTATATGCTAGTGTTATTGTGTATTTTCATAGTATGTAGGTGTATATTATTTTTAGCATTTTTACTTATCAATACTATCAGTATTAGTCCTCTTACCTAATTAATCATGCCTTCTTGAATCTTCATAGTTCATCTTAATGTGTATATGAAATATGTCCTTGTTTAACCTTCATTCATGAAATATAGTGGCATTTCTCACTGCTGATAGAGCTCTAGGATAACATTTATTTCTCCAGAGCATGAAAATATCAATCCATTGTGTTCAAGCTGTCCAAGGTGTTACCTGCACCGTGGTGCCATTAGAGCCCCAAACCTGGACAGGACCTGGTCTCCAACCTCTTTCTGTCTATACACGGGAAGATCTCAAAACATTTTCTGAGCCTTTTAGCCCCTTTTCTAATAAAAGCAATGGCTGCCATGGACAAAGCAGCACCTGATACTGGCCACTTCTCTATCTGGACATCTTGTAGACCTGGGACAAAAAAATTCTTCTTTATGTTTCTTCTCTGACTGCATCAAATTGATTTTTTAAAAATGACCAGCTTGTCTAGTTGTCATTAATGGGAGAAATGGAGATATTTAACCAGAATTCATAATGGAATTAAAAGTACTTTGCCATTTATCTGTATTTATATTATCAGCCCCATTTCTTCAGTAATTTTTCTAGTCTGGTATTCAGTACAAACTTATTCATGTAAGCAAACACCACCTGTTCCCCCAAAACCTATTGAAATAAAAAAATAAAGATGCAAAGACATCTTTTTTCCTCCCATGCTTCCCTGCTAGGAGGCACTGGACAAAACGAAATACCTCTATATGTCTGTGTTACTTTCTTGACAAGTAAGAATTTACTAAAGCAAAAAAAAAAAAAGACGAAAATATGCCATGAAACTAATACATCAACATTTTGTTTCTTTTTTTTATTGGAACATATTTGCCCAAAATGTCCATCCATATTCATTCTGTGATTGCTGGTAACACTTAGCCATGAGCCTTTAAATGATATATAAAATTTTTCTCTCAAATACAAAGTGAAGCATATATTAAAGATAATAACTAAAGTACATCTCTTTAAAATATGGATTGAAGATACACAATAACATTAGCATATCTACTATATTTATAATAATTTATTAAGCTAGATATATATTTTAATATATCAATTTACTTCAAAACTATTTTCAGAGCAAAAATGGAAATTAAACTTTTCAAATGTGCAAAGAAATAAATCACTAGCATTTACATAAAACTGTTGGCTTCATGAGATTAATTACATAATTTATTGCTCTGGGCTGATTACTTCATTGTGCCAAATGAGTAAAGAATAGACTACACACCTCCATCACAACCCAGGAACTTCAAATTACCAGTTGTTTGCATTGTAAAAAGTGCTCATGACCATGTCTAAGTAGATATGATCACAGTCTTTAAAGACAATAAACCATTATTATGATGTCAAGAGAATGATGAGTAAGCTTTCTATGTAGCCTAATGTTAATATTTTTAAATACAATTATCTCTAATTTTAGGTCCACATATCGGCGTCCTTTTTGTTTGCCTGTAAAAATGTTTTCTTTATGTTCAATCTTTTTTTGAGGATAGTATTTTTTTATTAATGAGAATAAAATCTCTGTCATAAACTGAAACATATTTTAGGGTATAATATATTGAAAGATAAAGAGTTTTGTTTCTAAGCACTGCAAAAAAGTAGCAAAAACTTATTTTAAATAGCAAGTTTAATTATGAACTGGACATATTTTAAAGTGTCTTTCTCTCACTATGGAAAACTTTACTAATATTGTCACATGGTGTGGTGCTACACATCTGTAGTCCCAGTTAGTCGAAGGCTGAGGCAGGATGATTGCTTGAGACCACAAGGTCGAGGCTGAATAAATTATGATCACACTACTGTATTCCAGCCTGAGTGAAAGACAGAAAGAAGGAAGGAAGGAAGAAAGGAAGGAAGGAAGAAAGGAAGGAAGGAAGGATTGTCACATATATATTTTAACAAAAGAGATAAAACATAACAAAGATTATTCACTAGTTATTATTCTAATTCCATAAGCATTGTCCATATAGAAAAGGGAGTCAAGAAGCAAAAATTAGAACACATAAAAATATGAGTTTTAAAAATATATTTACTGTTTAATTTTTAGGAAGTCAATTTATTTAATATAACCAAGCAGCTTTATAGTTGTAGTTATGAACATAAGCTAAATTTGAAAAGTTGTAGCAAACAAAACAAAACAAAGCCCTTAACATAAATAATTATTAATAAACATGAATGTCCATTCTCAATTGCAGCCATAATTAGAGCTTACAGTGGCTATTTCACAACTTTAGAGTAATTATTATTTCAGTTTCCCATATTTTGAGAGAGTTTGAAACATGGTAATGGGTTCCTAGGATAGAATATGAAATGTGGCTTAATGTTGAAATCATTCAGTGGTGCTGCAGAAGCAATTCACAAACGGGAAAGGGAGGCATGAATCTAACCAATGATTCAATGTTTATTTTACTCTATACAATTTATAATTTCAAGATAAAATAAACACTGTGTAAGTGGTTGTCACTGAAAACGTAAGTTATGCATTCCAATTATATGATAGGTCAAAAGTAAAATGAAAGTCAACAGAACCAGCAAAACCATGGCGTTTTGCATCTTATTCCCTGCCCCATAAAAATGATTTGAGTTGGAGTCTATAGATCTACATGGTACGGAGACTTCTAAATCAATTCTAGAGGTTATGGGAAAATATAAACAGAAGTGCCAATTTTAGAACATTGATTTTTCTATGTCTGTGGAAAAACCCAGAGTGGGTGTCTAGGGGCTGAAAAATTGTTGGAAAAATTTCTTTGGCATGTTTTCCCTTATATCAACACTTAGGAGAGTAGGAACCAGAGTTAAGTCAAATTCTATCCTTTGCACCACTACACCACATAACCGTCTCCATACCAGCAATCAAAGACACTTTCTTTGAATAGGATAGATTTGAAAACATGAAGAATTCTATGTTTTTCTAAAGTATTATTTAATATATAAGAAACACATTGAAGAATGACTTTGATTCCATCCATGGTATTCAAAATTATTTAGTTGATATCATTAATATAAAATTTAAAACATCCATTTGGAGCATATAAAATATATATGGAATCAGTACTGTATTTCCAATGACTGCTAATATAATGAGCAAGCCCAGAAAATGCTATTACATGTGTTTGGATGGATTTCTATTGCTTACTAAAAGCCTATTTTACCTTCCTCAGAGCTAATAGAAGCAGAGTTATCCATCAAGAATAGCAATTAAACTTTAATTTTCTATATGTGTGAAGTCAATATACTAAAGAAATCCAATGGCTTCAATTACACTTTTGCAATTTTAATTATTTTATGCCTGAAATTTCTAGAAAATTTTCCACAGTGTCTAATACATCACAACGGAGAACTTAATCTCACTGGATTATAATTAGACTCTAAAGGGTAAATTAAATGAATATATGCATTCTTGTTTATATATAAAACCTTCAAAGGAAAAATGATATTCATCAACAAAATTTTAAATTGAGTACTGCAACCTTGATTCAGACTTTGCATTTTAAAATATCGCCTTATAAAAGAGTGAAATCTTTATATATTTTTTGTAAACACTTAGCATGTACTTCAGGTTTTATAAGAAATAAACATTTAATGAGCATCTAACACGTAACAAATATATCTTCTAGAAATACACCAATAATGTACAAAAAGGGCATTTTTATTTGTTTGCTTGAGAGTAGACTTGTAACAAAATAAAAACAGTGTTTAAACATTCCAGGTATAATATAAGAATTTACAAGATACAGAATTAGTGCAAAGGAAAGAGTGCTTAGTGTTCTTTGGCAAAGACATTCACTTACTTGAATTAAATGTCACATCAACTTAACCACATTCTTCATTGATTGCATGGCTGCCCTCAGTCTGGACTATGACCGGAAGAAAGTCTCCACGGCCGCCATCTTGGCCAGGATTAAAAGAACTGGAGATGGAAGCTACAAGAGTGGCTGAGTTTGGGGTCTCTCAGGTTCCTATTTCAAAAGCCAGCCAGGCGGAAGTTTAAAGTCTGTTTATTAACTACTGAATAATGCTACCAGGATGCTAAAGATGATGATGTTAACCCATTCCAGTACAATATTCTTTCAAAATGCAAAAGTATTGAAAGCCAAAACAACAATAACAACAAAAACTGTTAGGTGAATGTTATAATCAGAATGTGCTTGTTTGACAAGCAAGAAGACTTTCCAGAAATATCCAAAGGCAAAGAAAAACATGCATGAACCAAACATGGCAATTAGTATCTATTTGGAGAAGTTACATTGTGAAAATGGTGAAGTATGAAAAAAAAGCTTACATAAAATATTCGGGAACTTATGTCATTTTTTAAAGTATAGAATGATATTAAACTGGGAAGTATTGGTAGAAGGGACAATACATTTTATAGATGATTAGTTTTAGAGTCAGTTAACCAGTGATATGACTGAAAATAATAAAACATTTTACTGAAGTGTATTTTATAGATTATGTTAAATCTATTCAGATAATATAGATAGCATAGAGAATATTGAATAAACTTGAAATATATTAGAGAGATACAACTAAAAAGTCACCACCTCAACTGTACCTAAACCCAGGTCCTAGCAGGTACTGTTATTTACATCTCTAAAATATAATTTGTCTGGTTCCAGTAATCTTTGTACCATTACAACTTTAGTCTAAGCTACAATCATTTCTTGCCTTGAATTCTTCCCCAGGTACTTGACTCTAGCTCTCTGGCCTCTTCTGAACATTACTTCTCTGCTAATAAAGTACTTTTTACAAAACACATGTAATCATTGACTTACAACTGTGAATCATTGAAGAGCAGTCTTCTAAATATGGCCATAAAAGCCCTCCGGAGTCTGACTCCTGCCTGTACCCCAAACTCATCACCACATTGCCTGCTCCATTCCAGCCATGCTAGCATTCCTTCTCTTTTCAACACTATTCCCCATCCACTTCGCTACAGGATCTTCATACATGCTTTTTTTTGAGACAGAGTCTCTCTCTGTCGGCCACACTGGAGTGCAGTGGTATGATCTCAGCTCACTGCAGCCTCCATCTCACAGGCTCAAGCGATTCTCCTGCCTCAGCCTCCCTAGTAGCTGGGATTACAGGTGTGTGCCACTACGCTCAGCTAATTTTTTGTATTTTTAGTAGAGACGGGGTTTCACCATGTTGGCCAGGCTGGTCTTGAACTCCTGACCTCAGTTAATCTGCCCACCTCGGCCACCCAAAGTACTAGAATTACAGGCGTGAGCCACCGTGCCCGGCCCATGCTCTTTAATGCTATCAGTCATTGTTAATTACTAGTCCAATGTTATTTATTTTTCAGCTGTTAATAGAAGCATGACTTCTTTAGGGAAGAACTGCTGATGTTGCTAGCTAAATACTTCTATTTCACAGTCATAGAATTGGTTCTTCTCCTTTGTATCATGGCACTTCTGAAATTTCATGAGTTTGTAGTTGTTTAATTGACATTTTACTTTCTCACTATAATGAAAGGACATGAAAGAATAGATTATGTTTTTGCTGACCAGCAAAACCTCATACTTGACATATAATAAGCACATATTAATTACTATTAAATGAATGAAACTTTTGAGGCTATAATACGGAAGTTAGATTTTGGTAGAGTAAAATGTTTCTTTAAAAAAAATGAATGGTAAAAGTATTTGAGCTGAAAAGTTAAGTGATGAAAGATGCACTTTAAGACAATCTGAAATCAATATGGAACGTTGGTTGAAGTAGAAGAACCCAAAGATCCAGAGAATAGCAAGTCAGGGAACAAAAAGAGGTTAAATTAAGAGGATGGCAGCTGAAAAAACAATGCAGTGACCACACAAAAAATTTACTTTTTAACTTAATTGGGAAGGCACAGATAAAGACATGAGGCATGAAAGAAGGGACACGAAATATTGTATATCTTATACATAAATATATATCTTATAAATAAAATTAATGAACATGATTAATGTTGGAATTAATATGTTGGAAAACGAATTAAAATTCTAGATAAGTATAGCTTTACCAAGACAGAATCAAAAATAAATTAAATTTTCTTTGTTTAATAATAATTCATGTTGTTAGTAGTTAAATATCTCCCCACAAGGAAATACCTGGGATTGGCCTGGGCTGAAGCTCTCCTAATAAGGAGGCCTCTAGGGAGGCATTCGAGCTAGAAATGCAGATCTAAGTAAAAACGAAAAATTGTGGCCAGCTTCAGCCTGGGCATGTGTGGGGTGGAGGCTGTGGGCTTAAACTTTGTTGGTAACTCCCTTCAGACTCTGCGCTGCACTGACTGTGCACACCAAGCTGTGGAGGTCAGTTTTCTTCATCAAGACCTGCATGGAAAACTTTTATAATGACCTTTGGCAGGGCCTCAAAGATCACACACAAGATTTTGGCTTGGAGCCAGATTCCTCCCTTTTCCTTTCTATGTTTAATTTTAAATAGTTTTTAATGTAATTTTTATCTTACAAGTTTTATTTCTCATCTCAATTCTATTTGCATTTAAAGCTAGTTTTCATATCAACTTAACTTTTTTTTAACATATGTGATAGACTCAATTTCTATTTCCTGCTAATTCCAAGGTATGTGTTAATTCAACATCATTTGTATTTTATTGTTTTTTATCTTCATTGTGAGTCAAATTTCAAAGTTTTTTTCATGCCTGGACATTTTGTTTGTTGATACATAAAAATTGTATTTATTTATGGGTTACATGTGGTATTTTGATACATGCACGCAACCAGTAATGATCAAATCAGAGTAATTGGGATATCCATTGGCTCAAACATTTATTATTTCTGCATGTTTAGAACATTCTAAATCTTCACTTGTAGCTATTTTGAAATATATAATAAATTATTGATAACTATACTTACCCTACTGTGCTATGAACACTAGAACTTATTCCTTCTAACTGTATTTTTGTACCCTTTAACCATCCTCTCTTCATTGCCCCCTCCCATAAACTTTGCAGCCTCTGGTAACCACTATTCTACCCTCTGCATCTATGAGATCTGTTTTTTAGCTCCCATAGATGAATGAAAAAACACGATTTTTGTCTTTCTGTGTCTGGTTTATTTCACTTAACATAATGTCCTCCAGGCTCATCCATGTTGCTGAAAGTGACAGTATTTCATTTTTTTTATGGTGGAATAATATTCCATTGTGTACATATACTACATTTTCTTTCCATTCTTGGTGTGTATACACCACATTTTCAATTCATCTGTTGATGGATATCTGAGGCTGATTGCATATCTTGCTATTATGAATAGTACTGTGATAAACACTGGATGTGCAGATATCTTTTCACATAGAGATTTCCTTTGTTTTGGATATAGACCCAGGAGTGGGATTGCTGGATCATACGGAAGTTCTATTTTTTATTTCTTTTTTTTTGGGAACGTGATGCCTGGTAATTATTAATTGGTTGCCAAATATCGTCTTAACTTTTCTGGAGATATTTTTTATTTATTTCTATAAATAGTTTGAGTTTACTTTGGGACATAGTTACACTATTTGAAAACAGGCTGCTTCTTTTAAGTCTTACTTTTAAGGTTTGTTAAGCTGAATTAAATCAATTCTCAGTCTAAGGATCCCCCATTCGTGAGGCATGACCCTTGTGTGTTCTGTACACAACACTTTGTAAATCATACATTATTTAGAGAATCTAATGAGAACAGGCACTTTTACAGGCATTGTAACCTCAAATATGTTGGATGGTTCTTTTCTCCTACACATACCAATCATTACTCATCTCAGTAATTGAGGTGTACCCTCTGCAGATCCTCGGAGTTCTCTGTTTGTGTTACACCAGTATTTTCTCCTGTGAACTACAGGCTCTTTGGGGTCTCAAATCTCCTAAATTTAGAGTGTGCCAGGCTTCACCTGTTTTCCTCATTTTTCTCTGCATACTGGAAAATCGCTCTTAGCAAAAAATTAGGGCAGTCGTAAGGATTAACTTATTTGGTTTCTATCTTTAATGTTATCAAAATTGTTTGATTCCCCATATTTTACTCTTTAAGGTTAGAAGAGTGTATATCTTGTTTCTGTCAATTCATCTCAGCCAGAAGTAGAATATTTTCTTATAGGAGCATACTAAATAACTCCTGAATATTTCTGCCAAATAGGCCTAACACATGATTTCTGATTATGTCAGTGTGACATATTGGATAATATCACTGTGAAAACATTGCTAATAAGCTTTGACTTCGTGAAAATTTCAAAAGAGTACATGCAGAGAGCTGTATCTTGTTATGAGGCAGAAGTTTACAAATCTGAGGACTGCAAAGCAGGTTCATCCTGGGGGCTTATTTTGTTTGGTGAAAGATTTTTTTTTATTATTTACATTGAATTGTAATGTCCTGAGACAGGTTATGCGCACGCTGATTTGTGATCAGCTCCAACTCAGCTGTAGCATCATATTACTTGCCTGGAGATTGAAGGCATTAAAAATTGTAAACACTTCCCCTAAAACAACAGTGTTCTAAATTTTTCCTTGTCCAGGGGTCGACTCCAATTCTGAAATACTGGAAAACACTACTACATGCACGTGCACATGCGCAGCACTAGTGTTCTTCAGTAATATTTTCTTGTACATTTGGGAAAATGTTAATACACCAAATGAATGATGGAGGTTTCTTAATGTCCATATAATCAATGTCTAATGAAAACATCACATTCATTTTTTGTTACCCTGATTACCAAGACCAACTTTTCCGTTGTCTTTTGCTCACAGGGCCAATAATATGAACTTCATATATTTAACCAACACTATTTTAATTTTCTGAGATTCTCTGTTGCAATATGTTTGAGGTTCTAGATATGACATACTATTTACCTGAGATAAGCCATTTTTATTGGAAAAAGAAATGCACTGATTTTGAATAACTATTGGAACGAGATAAATCCCAGAGTCTAGAAAGGCTAATAACACTTTAAGGGATGAATACTCACTGAATTTCTAATTAGAAAATATTTTATAAAAAAGAAAAAGAAGATGTTACAGTGTGTGGATATATAGATTATTTTATAGTACATGCACACATTTCTATCTATAATAGAAAGGTGGCTGTATATGTTACTATAATTGAAATGAGTTCATCACTTTTTTTAAAGTTTTCTGGAAAGGTTTTATAGATCATACTAGTATTATGCTTTTCAGTTCAGTCTAAAGTGGTGTTTTAAAATGAAGTCATCTATTAAGTTAATTGCTCTAAGCCAACCAATATTTTGAGAAAAGTCACATGAAAATTAATGGCTAATTACTTCCCAGTTGCTCTTTAGCTCAGGTATGATATTATTTTATAATTCAAATTAAATTGATATTTTTCTACTTATACATTTGTAATTTGCATATTTTCTTGTAGTTTTTATTAAACATTTTGTATAGATGTTTTTACTATATGATAATAATACAGAGAAACAATGTTACTCTATATAGACAAAAATAAAATAGGCTTAAAATACACACACAAGCACACACACATCCATATATATGCAATCTCTGTCAAATGGCAAACCATGTAACAAATAATTACAAAAATATTTAATTAAATACAGTAATAGGGGCCTGTAATATAATTTATTCTATGCTATTTTATCTAATTTTTCATATGCATACCACTCACATAATTTAATATATATGCATAAATTTGATCCTTTCTGATTGCTTTTTTGCAGTTTTTTAAGTTTGACTTATTTACCTACCATAAATTTCTCCCATCACTGAAATTATCCACGTTCTTCATCATCCCTTACTTCAATACTGCAAATACACTTAATACAAAATAATATGTAGGATTTATTTCATTTTTATGAAATGCTCACATACATATAAAGTGTATTTTGCTTTAAAGAAATACCATTATAAGAAACTTAATACATCTTGTTTTTCTTACATTTTTATTTTCCTCATTTTTTGAATATTCTTCCAAATCAATGGCATAGAATTCAATTTTTAAATGTACGCATGCTCTTAAATTTTACATATGTAGCATAATTCACTCATTCCCTAACTGATGGATATTTAGATGTTTCATTTTCTTTCCATTATGAAGAATAATGAGATACATATTCTTGCATATGTATCCTTAACAAAAAATAGATTTTTAGGTGAATTTTCAGGGGAAGTTTTTTAGAGGCAGGGTATAACTATTTTTTTTAATTGGTGGCCAGGTTGATTTCCATAAGTAATCTATATGAATGGCCTTTCCCTTTTATCCACAAAAAAAGGCCTTAATTATTATTTTGTAGTGTATGCATCCTCACCAATAATAACTTACTGTTACTTTCTTTTGAAATTCCCTAGCTACTTGGGAATTTGAGCATCTTTTCATACTTTTGTTGGCTATTAGCATTTATTCTGCAAATTTTATACTCATTCCACTTACAAATATTTTTATCGGAGTTTTTGTATATTTCTTGTCAATTTTAAGAGCTCGTGATACATTTAGTATACCAATCAAATTTTTTCATATCTAACATTATTAAACTACATTTGCTTATTTTACATTTCACCATAAAACAGATTTATTTTTATTTATATTTTAAAAAATACAATTCAACCATTTTACAAATGTGTGAAGCAAGCTTACTGAGGGGGTGAAACAAAAAGATAATCTAAATAATTTTTGAAATAAGTGGAGTCTGTAAAATGAAAGGCAAACACACAATGTATAAATATAGTGATCTTGTTGATAAAGTTTTTTCACACAAGGGTATGGGTTAATAATTCTGATATTACTATACATGTAATTTGGAATTCTACAATTAAGTAAATTGATGGCAGATGATAGGATCTTAGTTTCTTAATATAATGGTGAGAGTGCACGGATGAGCAAGGAAAGAAAGAATTATTCACATGGCAATTGATTAGAGTCTGAGACATCAGTAGGAACTCATGTTTAGTTTAATACAGATAGAGATGGTTAGATACAGAAATATTGATATATATGAACATATATACGTAAGTTAGGATACACACATAAAACTTGCTATCTCTGTTGAAGGCTTAGAAGCAACAACAACCCAAGTGGAAACAAGTATATGAAGCTCCTTGGATCATTTACAGCTTTTTAGGATTATTACAGAAAGCATACAAGATGAGCCTGAAGTGTCTTGTACCAAAAAGAAAAGAAGTACAGACACACACACACACACACACAAACCAAGCAAACACATATACTCATATGATAAGAGTCTGTCAAAGGGACACCGGTGACAATTCTAATACCTCCAATGGCCAAAGCTAAAACAACTTCAGCAACAAAATTTTTAAAATGAGTAATATTGACATAGTATTGGATTATAACTTAAAATATAAAATAAATATTCATTAATCTGCAATGATAGAAATATATGATTGAATAGATACGTGAATGGGAAAGTAGGGACAAATATCCCATGCAGAAGAATTTAAAATAATTTATGTAGATACTCTATGCTCACATAATTTCCTGCTTCTTTAGTGTGAGCTGTGCAGAGCAAGTGCATTTCAAAGAGTACAGTGTGAAAAAACCCTTGGGGGAGATAACTTAATCCTGACAAACACTACCTTAGCCAACTGATTAAAGTAAATATCTGCAGTAATAGTCACGTTGATGGCATGTGCCTTTGATAATCTGTGATGATGGCACTTCTACCCTATGTTTTTCTTCCCCAAAACACATGGCCCCAGTCTAATAATTAGAAAAATAAACAAATCGAAATAGAGCAACAGCCTACAAAATATATGACTAGTATTCCACAAAATTGCCAAGGTTTTCAAAAACAAGAAAAGTCTGAGAAACTTATACTCAAGAGAAGACTAAGGAGATAGAACAACTAAATGTCTGGAATCCTAGATGAAATCCTGGAAAATAAAGTTGAAATGAGGTAAAGACTAATAAATCTAAAAAGTATGCACTTTAGTAATAACAAAGTATCCATATTGGTTCATTAGTTGTAATAAATGAACCAGACTTTTGTAAGATACTAATAACAGAGAAGCTGGAAGCAAAGTGTATCAGAACTCTCCATATTCTCTTTATGTTTTTCTGCACATCTAAAACTGCAATAACATATAGTTTATTTTTTAATGATTATTAGCAAGTAATTTCAGAGTTTCCAGTTGATTAAAAATGTTATTAATTCATGTATTTCCCTGAGTTATCTTACTTATTTTATCGCTTAATACTTAAGTATTTAATCTATCTGAAATTTACTTCATATAGTATTCAATGTGATTCTACTTTTTCACCATATTTTCAATAGTCTCAGCATTATTATCATTGCAGAGTCAAATCTGAACTATTGTTCTTAAATTGTGCATCACTGAAATTTTACACTATTTCTTCACATTTTTAGATTTAAGCATTTTTTGAAACATATTGATCTTTATGAGTCTATTACATGCATAACATATTCAACAGAAGTTATTATAAGAACAGTTGACAAATTAACACACACTGCTCTAATGCATTCTGATGTTGAGAAGCAATGTCTGTAAAGTATTAAATGGTATTCATTAGAAAATATATTAATCACAGTGTTCAATTAATTCATCCATTTCAGAGTCTATAAGACAGATTAGTTATCCTGCTTAACATTATAAAAATCTCCTAATATTTAATATTAATATTGTGAGTGTTTTATGTTTTAATATAAGAAAAAGACTTAGCAAGCAAATTTTTCAGAAAAATATCTTAAGATTTTATTGACTTCTGAGTGAAAAACTGGATCCATTTTCTCTATATTCTTTTAAAAAATTTTTAATTTCTGTGGGTACATAGTAGGTATATGTATCTATAGGGTACCTGAGATTTTTTTTGCCTATAAATGATTTTCTTTTTTTAACTTTATTTTAGGTTCAGGGGTACATGTGAAGGTTTTATAGGTAAACTCGTGTAACGGGGTTTGTTGTACAGATTATTTATTCAACCAGGTACTAAGCGTATACCTAATAGTTATTTTCCGAAGGTAAATAATAGCTTGTGTTCCAGATTAAAAAAACAAACAACAAACAAAACCAAACTCTTTTAATGGCTAGGATGTGTATTCTTCAAAATACATCTGAAATGACCTACGAATATGTGGCTATTGTCAACAAACACAATAACTTTTTTTGTCTGCCCGTTATTAGACCATAAAGGCACCCCTTGCTTGGCCTCATATCTAGGAGTCTAATTACCCTCGCATAATTAAGCAGTATACGAGGTGTGTCAGCAGAAATAACACTAGAAAGACTGTTTGCACTTGCATGATTTTATCCATGAAACAAGTGGTCAGTTCAACTGTGAGCTCTTGAACATGAGCAACACTCACAAAAATAATATGTTATTTACAAATACCACTTAAAAATTGAGTAAAAACTATTGGTGTCTTGTAATGCAGGATTTAATTGATTCTAGGATGAGAAGGGGTGCTGGCTACGAATGGCTCCAGGGGAAGATACGGATGAAAAAAATAAATTAAGGAGAAATTGCCTCAATTTTGACATTGGCTAGGTTAACATTTACAAACAATATACCTAATATCAAAAGGCATGAAAAGTATGGCGACTGGAATGAAAAGCCACCATTATTCACCCTTGCGTCCCTATACCCATGCCCTGCAGCATCAGAGCTGATAGTTTCTCCCAATAGAGGTGGAGTGTACCTTCCTACACTCAAATTTGGACCCTGCATGCCTTGTTCTGGCTAATGAGATACTAGCATTTGTCATGTAACAAAGGTATCAAATGTACTTGTGTGATGCTATCTAAAGCACCTTTCCTACCAGCCTGCCTGTCCAAAGAGGATGAGAAACTTGTGAAGCAGACCTAGATTTGACTTACGGTTCTGGGACAATCACAGCCATTCTTACCTAGATCAACCAATCAACAGCTGACATGTAGATGTATTAAGAAAAAAAGTGACTGTCATTTAAAGCTAGTGAATTTGGAAGTTGGTTCATTATGTAGAATGGGGCAATAAGTAATACATTAAATAATAGGATGATGCACCCTGTTTTCATTATCACTAAGAAAAGCAACAATGGCCAAAAGTAGACTTAATAAACTGTATTTAGAAAATAGAGTCAGATTCTAAAGGAAAGGAGAAACAGAATGGTCTGTTATGTCATGTGCAGAGCAGCATTGAATTAAAGAAAGGAGATTAAAAAATAATAAAATAAATAAATTTAAGGTATAGAAAGGCTACCAAAGAATTCTGGAGCTAAGGGAATTTTGAAAACACATTGTTTTAACTATTTGATTTCTTACAGAAAAAAAAAGTTCAGATTTATTTATTCTAAATTATTGTTATGTAATGTCTTGCCTAAGCTTCCCATACATTTTATCTAACTTCTATTCAAGTGTTATTTGAATAAATTATGATTTATCTTAAAAGCAGATCCACCATTATTCAATTATATTTTTCTTATATTCCTTTTATTTAGTCATATCTTGTTAAGTTACAATTAGTTGAAGTATGTTGCTATTTTAAAACAATGATGGTTTTAATAAGAAAAAATATATATTAAAGCATTTCACGAGTGCCATGACATTTTGAAAAAATCAGCCCAACAAATCTATCCTTTTTTGTTGAAAACTTAGATTAAAATTTCAGGTAGAGAGGATGATAACTTTTAGATAGTAGATATACCTTTCTCCACTTTGGAAATGAAAACTGAATCAACCATAATATTTTCCAACAAGAAAATCGTCCACCTTTCTGAAGCATATAAAAATAACTTAAAATTCCTTCAATATTAAATGATGTAGTTATATTCAATAAGTCGTGTTTATATTACATTTATAATATTTAAATGAGATTTGAAAACAAACAAAATAACCCACCCTAGAACAAATGCATCTCTTAGCTAGACTGACAAATAAGCAAAAAAATGCTACTGATTTCAGAACATTTGAATGATAAAGCCTACTCTTGTTCCAACTTAATTTATCTTAAACATGAAAATGTAACATGACCTCATTATTGACATGGATCATAAGGTAAATAAAAAGTACATTCATGAAATTGATGATACAGGTTAAAAATGCTTTAAATAGTTTTTCTTTTCTAACTTTTCTATTCTAGAAGGTGTTGATACCAAAGAATTCTTACACTGCATAGAGATAAAAAAGGCTGCAATGAGTAAGTCCATCTGTCTCTCTGCCTCTGTCTCTGTCTGTTTCTCTATCTGTCCTTCTCCCTCTCTCTATCTCTCCTTCTCACCCTCTTACCTCCCCATGCTCATATGTGTCTTAGTCCTATAAGTACTTCTACGGAATATCTTATTTGTTATTTTCCATTATATACTTAAATATGGGCGATTATTTTTGTCTGACTCCCTTTTCCTTCTCTGACCAGTACTAATCAATGGAATAGTCATAAGTCAAATACATAATTAAGCAGAAAAAGTGTCCACACATGTATGATCAATTAAGTGGAAATAAAGAAGGAATACGTTATTTTTTCCTACATTAGCTTAGCCTTCGTTTAAACCATTATAACTGCTTCCTTCTTACAGCTGGCTATTTGCACTTCTCAATCATCTAAAAACTCCATCATTTAAAATATAGAAAATTTTTTCAGTTTTATCCATTCCTCTTTATCTTTCCACTTTTTTTCTTTCTGAAGTGATTTGGTCCAAAAAACGCCTACGTGTGGCTGAGACATGTAGGTATTGGCTTAAAGGGAAGAATGAACTCCAGTAGCCCCTACTGGGCATTTAGATTCTGAGCTAAATGAGGAGGACTTCTGTTTGTGAGGTTGATCCCGTGGATGAGGTGTTCAAGGCCTTATTAGTGAGAGAAGGGTGTCGCTGTGGTGGGGTACAGAGGTGAATTTGGGTGTTGGAACATGTATGGGGTCATCAGAATGTTTGTAAAATGAGTATTGCGAGTGTCAGCTACAAAGAGAGGTTGGTTACAAACAGAAGGATTGGTCAAATACATTAACACCCTGAGGATAATGGTAGCAAGCCTTCTTATATCAGTTAGGTGAATCACAAATCTGAAAAAGGAGAAAATTAGAATTAATAGAATGAACTATCTTGTTAAATAAGAATTGGACCTACCACTGGTAATCAACACTTTCAGTATGTTTAGATATTTAGATATAGTTGCAGGTACAAATTGAGGAGCCTGAGTCACTTTGTTTTGCCAGAAAGGTTAATGAGATGCATCCAATAGGAAAAAAACAAAACAAAACAAAACAAAAAAAAACAAGCAAAAAGTAAAAATAGAAGCAGCAAGCCGAAAGTGACTCCCACTGACCAAATGTGGGAAAATTTAAGCATCAAAATAAACAATTTTGATTATAAAAGTAAGAGATTATAACTTATTGAATAAAACAGGAATCCACAGTCTACAGATATAAACATACATTAATGGATAAATTAGGGGTTTCATGAGATTGTAGATATTTAGATATTTACAGAATCAAAAAATAACCCCCCCCAAAATACTTACAAACTTCAAAATAAAAAGGGGAATCTTGGCAGACATTGCCTTTATCTAGTGATTACAAGTATTGTTACTATTAATAGGTGATTATTTGAATTTGGCCAGGGTTGTGAGAGGAATTGGTAATACATTTTGTCAAATGCTTTTTCTGCATGCATTACTTTTTCTGTTGAGGTGTTTAATTACAGTGATTGATTTTTTATTATTTCTCCTGTCTATCTTTAATTCGGAGTATGACAACTTGTCTGAATTTGCCAACATTCTGTCACCGTGTGTTTCACAACTATGATGGCTGTGTCAATGATTTTCCTTCCTCTCTTTTCAATTTTCTTCACCCTTTCAATCATCAGTCACTTAGTGAGTGTCATTCCCTCTAGAAAATCACCTGGTCTATTATTGTGAATTTTTGTGTGCAATGTTTTGAACAGATGTATTTTTTTTGTCTTAGGTTATTTGCCAAGCTATATTGAAAATGTAAAGGTTTGGGGATGGTATGCCAACTACGTAAATGCTAATGAATGCACAGAACCTGTTCAAAATAACCACATTAAATGTTTAGAGAAGAGAAAATGTTGTTTAAAGCATGTTTAAATGTTAACATAATAGTTTGTTACTTATACATAGGCATTTTCCCCAAGTGTGTTTTCATTTTACATTGATTATCATTGGAAGTGTTGCATTAATTAGACATGTATTGTACATGTATCTGCCTAAAATAAATACAACTGGCCGGGCGCGGTGGCTCACACCTGTAATCCCAGCACTTTGGGAGGCCAAGGCCGGCAGATCACCTGAGGTTGGGAGTTTGAGACCAGCCTGACCAACATGGAGAAGCCCCGTCTCTACTTAAAAAATACAAAAAAGTTAGCCAGGCGTGGTTGTGGGCGCCTGTAATCCCAGGTACTCAGGAGGCTGAGGCAGGAGAATCACTTGAACCTGGGAGGTGGAGGTTGCAGTGAGCGGAGATTGTGCCATTGCGCTCCAGTGTGGGCAATAAGGGTGAAACTCCATCTCAAAAAAAAATAATAATAATAAATAAATAAGTAGAATTGAGTTCCTGGTTATTGTCTTCACACAAAACATCTGATTTGATAGGACCTTATTACTGATCTTAAACAGAAGTTACTTGCATTTGTAATGTGAGAATGTGCAAAATTTGAATAATAGATCAGTCTTTGGATCTCACTTTAAAATATATGATTTGTGATTTTAGGCCAAAATCACATTAAATTTATAAATATACTTGTATCACTTAAATAAGCTACAAATAATAATCATATTTATAACTATAATTTATTATATTTATAAGAATTAATTATGTAGATTTGTATGCTAAACCATTACTTAAGCACTTAATCAAGAGATCATATACATTAAAAATATGTGTGATTTAAAATATTTAAAGGGATTTAAGTAATTAACCCTGTTAAGGACAATAAGCATTAGAATATTAAATGTGATTTACAGTTCTTAGACATAAATAAAACAGAACATGTGAAAGCTAAATGTAAAAATTTTTAAAAATTCAGAGTTTGAAATTATAATTTTAATGAAGTAAATACTACTGCCAAAAATCAAATTAAAAATGAATAATATATTTTTAAGAAGAAAAGTTTCACACAATGTCATTTTAAAAACTGCCCTTGAAGAATTATAACATTGGATTATCCCTTATTCTCTATGCCAGCTGTATGAAGAATGCATTAGAAGATGGTTTTGCAGTCATCTCTGCAAGAGTTGATGGTGGCTTGGACAAGAGTTCAAGGTGATTGGGTGTAAGGATAAAGAAAAGGGAATGCATTAGTTAAATATGGAGATGTGGTGGTTAATGCCAGTAAATGTCATGAGTGAGAGAGAGAGACAAAATTACACTGCCCCCTTTTCTGGTTTTGCAACTTGGTAGTGATACTGTCCATGAAACCGAAGATTCTCATCGTCACATGGAGATGTGTAGAATGAGATTAAAACTGTGACTACAGGAGATCACTGCAGAACGTAAAATTTTATTTGATACAGGAGGCACTTTAGAAGACTGAAGTGCACTGAGCTGCATGAGCAAAACCACGTAGTGATGCATGAGAATTAAAAAGAATGTATCTGAAAAGGGAAAAAATGATCAGAACTTTTGAATACTGATGAGGTTAAGTAATATATGCACAAGAAGGGACTGTTATATTTTTACCCAAAATTCAATCACTGTATAAAAAATTTATTTATAATAAATCCCATAAAATAAGATAATAAAGCTATAAGTCTGAGAATATAATTTATGCAAAAGCTATTTTTAGGACCATAAGCTAATTTTTATAAGCTATTTCATTGTTTTAAATCTCAGCTTGAATTTTATATATCTCTTTATATCTTTTTTCCACACATCTTAAACCCCACCATTTACTATTTGCATGATCTAGAAAAAGCTACCTAACCTTTGCAAGTTCTAGTTTATTAAAAAACATTAACTACTTTTGTTTCCTTCAAAATTCAGATTTTGTACTATTTAATATCCAAATAATTTACCTATCTGAAAAAAATATATACAATCCCATGTTTGTTTATGAACCTCAGGTATATATCAATCTTTTGTGAACATCTGTGATCTTTTTGTTTTGTAATTTTCATATTTCCAATTTGATCAAACTTGCATTTTATTATAAATGTCCTACAGTCATGTCTGCAGAGTTGAAGGATCTTGGCTGGCATTTGAGACTTTCTACTCTTTTCCACTTTCTAATAGTCAATAAACTTTGCTCAGACCTGCCTTCTTGGTATTTTACACCCATATAAAGATGGTACAGAGTGCCCTCCTAGTAACACTGCATCTGTGCATTGGGGAGAAGAGAAGGGTTATACCTCTCCCACTGAAACAGGCCTAAGGAGGTCTTGGACATTTTTCAAGTGGACCATTTCCCAGACACAGAAATGCTGAGTAAGAGCAATAACTTCACAGTGTATTATTTCACTGTTGACAAATGGAAGAAACAGGCATGTAAGATAAAAAATTGAGACTTAAAAACTTGCAGTTAAAAAACAGTTTCTCAACACTTACAGTAGAATAGAATAATAACCTTTTAAAAGCCGTCTTCAATAAGCTGATTGCAACACTGCACAAGCTCAGCCTGCTAAGACACAGGGTCACTGCTTTTGTCTTACCATCCATCTCATCTTTATCACTTTATTGACTTTCTTCTTTCAAATGTCTTAAATATTGAATTCCAATTTCCTCCTTAAAGACATATTTCTCATAAAGATGTGCAAACGGTTATGCAATGGTTGTTTGGGAAGAATTCTTTATAGTCCATTATTGAATTCACAGTGTAGGTACAAGTAAGTGCTTTGGATCAGACAAGAAGGCCTATTGAGTAAGTTGCTGCCACAGGGCCTATGTGGGAAGTTTCTAAATAAAAGTTACATTGCGGAGTAGCAATGTTTTGATACGTCATTTTTCAAAGCTTCCACTATTTTCTTATAATTAGTTTGTATGCTATTGTGCATATATGAACTGAATTTTACAAAAAGCCTCATGCTAAAAATCACACAGAAAAAGAGAGGATGAGTAGCTTGAGAAAGAAGAGATGAAGGTAGGCACATTTTCTTTCAATTAGAAAAAAGTCTGCCTTGAGTTCTGTTGAAAAATTCACATTACGTACTGCATGACATTTATGCTGAAAGCAGGTGTGAGTAATGTAAGAACAAGGGTTGCGTCTTGACAGAAGATTTTGCATTTATTACCTCTTTCTGAAGAAAGGTAATGAAGCAGGAAATAGTCACAAATAATAAGAAGCAGTTTAAGCTGTTGAATACACAACAATCTCCACTATCCTTCAAATTTTAGACCTCTATAGGAGAAATAGGCAGTCTTTCCAATCTCATATAGATAGATATATGTAAAATTATCACCATTTTTTGAAGACTGTCTTTTATATGACCTTCAAATGTCAGACATTACTCTATAACTTCACATAATGCATATAATTTGAGCTTTGGATGACTACTTGATGCTAATTCAGACTCAGCTTTCATAAATGATTCATTCATCATTAGATTTATTAATCTCTATCCCTATAAATGGTTTTTATGTGGGCCAGTTAGTTAATTAGAGCTTTATATTGTTGACATGCCTTAGAAGTTTGTGATGCTTATAGGTAATTTAGTGTCAGAGGAAATAAAAAAAAAACCTTTTTCATTCAGAGAAAAAATACATGATGAGCTATATCAATAAAGGGTATATTTGGTGAAATAACAAAAATGGTTTTTATAACCACAAACCTAGGTATGAATGATATGAATGAAGTAAAATTTGTTTTAAAATTTATTTAAATCTAGATTCATTTAATTCCAATGCCACATTTGACTAAGCTGATGACAAATTCAATCCTGTTCATGATGGAGGCTTTCTGCTTAAAGATGATAAAAATACTAAGATTTGGCTGGGCATGGTAGCTCACGCCTGTAATCCCAGCACTTTGGGAAGTCGAGGAGGGAGGATCACGAGGTCAGGAGATCGAGACCATCACGGTGAAACCCCGTCTCTACCAAAAATAGAAAAATTAGCCTGGTGTGCTGCTGCATGCCTGTAATCTCAGCTACGTGGGAGGCTGAGGCAGAAGAATCACTTGAATCTGGGAGGCGGAGGTTGCAGTGAGCCGAGACCGCACCACTGCACTCCAGCCTGGTGACAGGGCAAGACTCTGTCTCAAAAAAAAAAAAAAAAAAGAAAAGAAAAAAAAGAAAAACTAAGATTTTACACACATCACTAAAGCATAGTGATGATTCTTTGATCCCCTCCCACAAATTCGTACTGAGAAATATATTGTCCCAGTTTAAAAGTTTCCATCAGATTCTTGGAATATTCTGCTTTGGCATGATTAATGGGGCAAAAGAAACTTTGATGATACTAGGAAATGTCAGGTCCAGATGCTAGGACCAGTCATCTGGGTGCTGCCTGGTAAAAGACAAGGAGATCTCTCTCCCCTTCCAAGTCAAAAAAGACACATTCTCAGCTTATACTGTTTTTAAAGGTCATTAACTTCCCTGCCCGACCCCATCTGTTTACCCCTAACCAAACCTAATGTATACCATTCATTATGCTTGGGGTTTAAAAGGCAGCAACTATTAATTAAATCAAGATCATTTGCTTTTGATATGGCAATATCCCTCTAGTGAGAGATTATGAAAAGTCTGGCAATTTGTTTGAAATAGAAAAAGGGGGAAATAAGGAGAAATGAAAAACAAAATAAATCATTTAACAAACTACACTGAAATAAAAAAAATGGAGGGATGGGCTAGGTGAAATATTATTAACTAAATAACATCCCATATTGCATGGTCCAATAACAATGGCTAATTATATGAGCTTCTTATAAAAACAAGTAGTATAAGACTATAATTAAGGAAAAGCATAATTATATTATTTTCCTACATGAGATATTTTAAAATTCATTAATGTTTCAGAAAGTAAGGCATATAATTACTTCTTATTCATCTTTTTTCTTAAATACAGTATCAACTTTCTTGGAGAGTCAGTGGCAATAACCAAAAGAATTAAGTAAGCTGGGAACTACACAATCACAAAACATCTTCAGGGAGGTTGGTACCTACAATATTGACTATTGAGCAAAGCCAATATTTAGAGGAAGAGCAAACAAACAAACATGATACAGACATTTCTCAGTGAAACTATTTCTACTCATTCTTCAGTAACCTAGATTGAGGACAAAATTTTAGTAACTGAAGTCAATTACCATAAGAAAAATTTAAAAGTTATTACTGTAGACCTTATATTCTTGTGGAGGAAGATAGGCATTAAATACAGAACAGGTAAGGTACTTTCTGGGTGTTCCATTATGAGGAAAAGAAAAGGAAAAGTCTCACTCAGGATTCTTGTGATTTCAGGTTATTGGAAGACAGATATTATTTATCCAGAATGGCTAGGAAAACATTTTCTGGAAAGAAACTTTTGAGATGTTACCAACATGATGAAAAAAGATACACTTTTGTAAGGACCACAGCAAACGGCATTCTGTGTCGAATAGATGAAAGAGTTTGAAGGAGAGACAGAGAAGACAAGGGTATTAATTTTGTATGGCTTCAATAACAAATTACCACAAGCTTAGTGTTTTAAAAAATAAAGTTCCTAAAGCAGGAGTCATGGTGGAAAATATTTTTTTTTCTCTATGTCGTCAATATCAAACAGATTTTAAATGGCAAAATAAGAGGCTGAAGAATGATTAAATATGATTAGGAATGAATAATCAAACATCAAGGCTGCAGACAAGGAAACATAAAGAAAGATCACAGTCCTGGTATGAATGCAAGATTATTCGTTACTAATCATAAACACACACCACTTAAATCATAGATGGAGAACCCTGGTAAGATCCTAGTGAGACAGAGTGTAGAAATAAAGTCTTGGCAGAAATAATACTAAGTAACTATCTCCTAAGGCCTTTCATAATGCATTCTTATTCACATATAAGTAAAATATACTTTTCCGGTTTTATAAAATGTTACATTATGGCTTTTGCAATGACAGAGTATAAATTTTCTTGCCTGCTTATACAGACAAATATTTAGTCAATATACTTTTATCTTTCCAGTAGCTCCAGTTGTATTTAATTTATTCATAAGTTAGTTCTTTAAGGCAGAGGGACATGGTATTTCACAAACAATTATATGTTGAGTATCTTTTCCTAAATCTCAAAAAACCCTGATATAATTGATTAAAAATATGTATAATAGATGTCAGTGCTAACACATACTCTATTATAACAGCTAGTTTTGAAACGCGTATGTTAACACATTTAGGCTTCTTACTGATACAAACTTTGGTTTGTTTATGGTATCATTGACTCTAAGTGTTATGTTAGACCATCTTATTCAATGTATCATGTAATATAGAATCCTTGGCAACTACTAGAAATATCCTCTTCCTTACAATTAACTCAGTGTGCATAGTTCTGCTGATTTCACCTAATTATATTCCTTATTTCCTACCTCCTTTCCATAATGTTCAAAAAGTGATAGCTTAGGAGATTCTCTGGATCAAATACTCCTTTATATCTTATACTGCAAGGAGGCTCTAAAATGGCTCCAGTGATCTCTGCATCCTGGGATCCATGCCCTTGTGTGACATCCTCCATTTGAGCATGGGTGAGACCTTATGCTCTATAATTTGCTTCTAACCAAAATAATATGGCAAATGCGATGAGATAACTCTTCTGTGCTTATTCTATGTTAGGATGAAAACAGCATCTTGTTAGCAGGCTGTCTTTATTGCCTCCTCAGCTTATATATTCTGATGAAGCAAACAGGCGTGTAACGGAGGTCCACATGTCAAGGAATGAAGGGCAGCCCCCTCCCAACAGGCACCGAGGGACTGAGGATGACCTCCAGCTTGCTGCCACACACAAGCTGAAGCTTTCAATCCAACACCCCACAAGGAATTGAATTCTGCCAGCAACCACATGAGTTTGAAAGCAGATTATTTTCCAGTTGATCCTCACATGGGAATGTAACCCTGGCAGAAGCCTTGATTGCAGTCTCGCGAGAGACCTTGAAATAATGAACAAGTAAATTGCTTGGA